>NC_000010.11:1070606-1222121 GCF_000001405.40 Homo sapiens
TAGAAAAATATTTTCATCCTTGGTATTTAGGATTATAATTAGAATGCTTAATAAACTGAATAGGAAAGATCTTGTTTATGTTATTAATAACCTTTATGGAAGACACTCTAAATTTTTTGTGAATACATTTCATCTCTGTTAAGAATACTCTCTTCTATGTGTAGATAAACTTATTTTTCAAAACAGGCTGACTTGTTTAAAAAGAAGGGAACGCTAGTGATTTTAAAATATTGTAGAAAAGGAATCATTCTATAACAAAGTAAGGAGGTGTTAGGGCTATTGAGTAAGTGAGAGCCATTTGGAAGGAAAGGAGTAGCATTTCAGGGATGTGTGTCTGCACCTGGTAATGTCTAAGGAGTTGATAATGAAGAGGGCTGGGCACACCAGAAATAAGGTCTTGCCTTGAGGCTCAGGCTATTGCTGTTGCGTAAGTCACCATTGTAACTGTCTACTTGGAATTTAGATGTTTACGTAGTCCTTATGTGTATTTTAAAGGTTAGCGTATTTTTCCTTTACGCTGATATATTCACAGAACCATCCCCTGCTCTTGGGACTTGGGCCAGTCTTTTCTCTAAAAGAAGATGATGGAGGCATGTTGGCGTCTGGGAGGTCGTGGGCGTGTCCTGCTTTGCCTTTGACTGCATATGGGTCAGGCATTCTTTGACAGTGAGGTGCTGAGCTGGCCTGATGATAGGATTGTGTTCATGGGAGGAGGGATCAGTAATAGCAAAAAATCAGCAGGTAATGTTCAAAATAGCAAAATCTGTAGTTGAAGAAAGAAGATATGTGTGTAAATATATTACCTAAGATTGTAGTAAGTAACGTAGTGATATAATTGGGAGGAAGGATGGATAATAACAGGGAATGAGTAGAAAATGCCCAAAGTGGGTAAATCATAATATTTAAATTAGAGATTTGAATAACTTAATCACATGTGGTTAGTTTGAATTGAGATATGCTGTAAATATACACGCTGAATTTCAAAGAGGTAATCATAAAATATCCCATTGTTTTTTATGTTGACTATAAAATATTTTAAACGTATTGGGTTAAGTAAATCATTAAAAGTAATTTCATATGCTTTTATTTTTAAAAATGTGGACACTGGAAAATTTACATCCATGACTTGCATTATATTCCTATTGGACAGCATGAGTCTAGAATGTGTAGTCTAGAATATGCAATTAACATTGGTTCCCTCGGGGGAGTAGACTGTGCCTGGGGAATTCCGTTGGGTTAAGGGAGAGCAATTTTTTTTTTAAATTTTAAACCTCTTTTTTGCCATTTGATACTTAAGATGTTAATGAAATTTGATAAAGAAATTACTTCTTTAATAAAGGCTGTGGTCCCTACCTTAAAACATCTTAATTTGTCATATTCCAAATTATATAGTTAATGTTAACTATAGTAAGGAAGCTTGTAATTAGAAGTCATCATTATCTTCTTCACTGTTTTTCTTTTGTTTCAACTCGCTGTATCAGAAACACTGTTTTTTCTTGCTGTTTTTAGCTTATTGCAGGAGTGACCAGGACACTACCTCCTAGAAGTAATGCCCACAGAAAGCGCAAGTTGTTCGACTGCTCGCCAAACAAAACAGAAGCGCAAATCCCATAGCCTTTCTATACGAAGAACTAACAGCTCGGAGCAGGAGAGGACGGGACTGCCAAGAGACATGTTAGAAGGACAAGTAAGCTACGATTGATTAGGGCCTTATTGATTGATTGATTTTTGAGACAGAGTTTCGCTCGTTTCCCCGGCTGGAGTGCGATGGTGCGATCTCCGCTCACAACCTCCACCTCCTGGGTGGAAGTGATTCTCCTGCCTCAGCCTACTGAGTAGCTGGGATTAGAGGCATGTGCCACCATGCCCGGCTGATTTTGTATTTTTAGTAGAGACAGGGTTTCACCATGTTGGTCAGGCTCATCTCGAACTCCTAACCTCAGGTGATCCACCTGTCTCGCCCTCCCAAAGTGTTAGGATTACAGGCGTGAGCCACCGGCCCCGGGATCAAGGCCTTATTTTAAAGATGGTGATTGTGTCTGTGACGTTATAAAAGTAGCCAAATATATAAAGGTCTCCAAAGTAAAAAAAAAAGGGTTGGGTTACTAAGAAGAAAGATCACCCCTCCCAAATTCCCCCAAAATAAACTCATTAAAACTTCTATCAAATACAACAGCATACACAGATGGGTTAGCATATGTATACTAAGTAATAACAAATCAAAGTGGGTATGAGAGTTGGGATTAGTTTTATTCTTTGTACAGGCTTGCGGACAGTACAATTCTGGGTTTTCTGTCTCTAACAGTCTCAAGAAAAGAAGAGTATCATATCCTTTTAATGATCTCTTTCTGTTCTCTGAAGAGTTTTTGGAATCAGATCTTTTAGTGACTTTGCTTAGGTTTATCCTTGTCTCTGCCGCCATGAGTATGTCATTCTTGGATTAAAATGAACTAATTATTTTTGATAAAGATAAGTTTTGCTTATACTTTTTCTAGTTCATTTATAGCTGATGAAATTCTGTCAGAATTTTTAAAGAGTGTTGTGAAGTCTAGACGCAGTATATTTATATTAAAATAAGCTCTAGATATATCTAATATATGGTTATATATGTATATAACTATATGTAAACTTACAACCATTCCTTCACAATTAGAACAAATTCATCAGCCATAATGCTGTAGGAAGATAAAGCTTAAACCTGAGAAATTGGCTTCTGTGAATATTGGATTTTGTTAGGACCATGTGGGTAACTTTATGCCAGGACTTCGAGGCCGGGACCTCTACACTGAATACAGCAGTGTGAACCCAGAATCCGACATGACTGTTGCCACGAAGAGGATCTTTACCTCAAATTAGATGATTATGCATTGAATAAATAAACCAGTACCTGGTTCTAATTTCTATAAAAAGTGATTACATTTTAACTTAGTGTTCAAAAAAATTACAAAAATAGCTTTGGTATTCTTAGTGTATTACTTTGCTAGGACTCCCATAACATAATGCCACAGACTGGGTAGCTTAACAGACTGGGCAGCTTAAACAACAGACATTTATTTTCTCATGGTCCTTCCAGGCAGCTGGAAGTCCTAGATCAAGGTGTGAGCAGGGCTAGTTCCTCCTGAGGCCTCTGTCTGTGGCTCGCCGACACCATCTTCTCCCTGTGTCCTCACAGAGTTGTCCCTCTCTGCGTGTCTTGTCCTAGTCTCTTCTTACAAGGACCCCTGTCATACTGGAGGGCCTTCCTTTATGACCTCATTTTACTCTCACCACCTCTTTCAGGGCCCTGCTTCCAAACACAGTCGCATGCTGAGGTCCTGGGCCTGTGGACCCCGTTCAACACAGCACTTAGGAGACAGCAGAGCTATGCGGCAGGACTCCTGTGGTGGGGGCAGTGTCTGTATCTGTATCTGCTGTCTGATGTGGGAACCACCAGTCACGTGGCTGCTGAGCACTTGAAATGTAGCCAGTGTCCCGGGACATGAGATTTTAATTTTTAAAACTTTTAATTACATTGAAATTTACATAGTCAGATGTGGCAAGTGGCTACCCTATTGGACAGTGTGAGTAAGCAGTCCAAGATAGGTTTTCCTAATTTGTAGGTTCACGTACATTTCTAGCAGTGGAAACCCTGCAGCCTCCCCTGCTGGCATGTTCTAGAGTTGTCTCCTGCCTGGGGTGAAAGTGTTCTTTTCTGGGCCCTGAATGCCCATTCTCCTTTGTGACACAGCAGAGGCGGTGACTGCATCTCATGGTAACCCTCACGAAGGTAGCTCAGAGGTCTCCAAGCCGCACGGCCTCGTCCTCTGCTCCACCTTTGGCCTGTGTCTCCCACGCTCGCTCCCTAGACGGAGCTCATTTGTTCAATGAGCAGTGATTCGGAGTGGGACCGGTCAGCATGTTCTGTAAGTGGCCCCCGTGAGGTGCTCTGCCTTCCCCCTGCCCTGGGCGGGAGAGGTGAGTGGCCCCCGTGAGGTGCTCTGCCTTCCCCCTGCCGTGGGCGGGAGAGAGCTGTGGTGTCTGCCGCACGCGTTTGGCATGGTAGGTGTGAGGGGGGCGATCTCAGAACAGGGAGGTGTTGATTAACGTAGGAGTGGGCTCGTTCTAGACAGTGTAGAGTGACGCCCTTTCAGTTGTTGAGGAGCAGCAATATAGAAGAGAGGGCAGATGAGTCTGAGGGAGACATCGTGTTAGGTTTAACTTTATACATCTCAGATTTGCCAGTCTGAAGTAGTTTAGAAAGCCAGGTTCGCGCAGGCGCAGGAGGTCTGTCGTTGCCGAGAACTGCGACGTCCACGTGCACACAGTGCTGGCTGCGGCCTGAAGAGCTGGCTGCTTCCCGCACGTGCGTGCAGGTGCTTTCAGGTGTGTGTTGGTGTCGATGTGATGGAAGAAATTCATTTAAAAGCTTTGCTGAGTCACGGCAGTAGTGTCTTGAGTTTTCTCAAGTGGTACCAAAAGTTCAACAACTCGTTTGAGAGTCTGTGAAATTGAATGGCACAGAAAGGGAGAACTGATGGAAAAGGTTGAAAGTCATTTTGTAAGCGCGCTCTTCCTGGGCTCAAGTTGCCCTCTAGTGGGACAAGTCCTCATTTCTCTGTGCATTTAGTTTCTTGATTATAAAGTGAGGTTAATGCTGACTTCTCAGCTTTCTTTTCCATAGCAATTCCTTTTTTTTTTTTTTTTTTAAATTTATACTTTAAGTTCTGGGGTACATGTGCACAACGAGCAGGTTTGTTACGTAGGTATACATGTGCCAAGGTGGTTTGCTGCACCCATCAACCTGTCACCTACATAAGGCATTTCTCCTAATGCTATCCTTCCCCCAGCCCCCCAACGCCCCGACAGGCCCCGGTGTGTGATATTCCCCTCCCTGTGTCCATGTGTTAGCAACTACTTTTATATTAATATGCACTTAATATTCAAGTATATATGACATGATGTAATTAGTTGCTGAACAATAAGAGCCTTAAAACATGATGGGTATAGATGAGTAGGAACTGATTCTGTAGGAGGAGATTGGCCTTGTGTAGGAGTCAGAAGGGCTTTTGGGGAGGGATGCTTGTGGGGAGGGATGTTCACAGAGTGGGAATGGGGCGTGCAGAGGCCACAGGGCAGGGAAAATACTAATAGTGATTCTCAGTTCAGCACAAGCTTATGTTTCATAGTTATTGGAACTTCTTTTTTTTTTTTTTTGAGACGGAGTCTCGCTCCGTTGTCCAGGCTAGAGTGCGGTACTGATCTTGGCTCACTGCAACCTCTACCTCCTGGGTTCTAGCGATTCTCATGCCTCAGCCTCCCAAATAGCTGGGATTACAGGTGCCTGCCACCACTCCTGGTTAATTTTTGTATTTTTAGTAGAGACGAAGTTTAACCATGTTGGCCAGGCTGGTCTCGAACTCCTGACTTCAGGTGATCTGCCCACCTTGGCCTCCCAAAGTGCTGGGATTACAGGCGTGAGCCACTGTGCCTGGCTGGGATGTCCTTTTTGATGGCCTAGTTTTAATTTTTATAGTTACATTTTCCTTTCTTTTTTTTTCCGTGTTCTTCATTGGTTTTAGAAGGATGTTTAGAGGCTATAGTACCAATTCAGTAGATTCAGTATTTAAAGTAGTATATATATGTGGGTGTGCGTGTGTGTGTGTGGTTTGTAAAATTTTTGTGAGAAATCTGTGATAACTGTAAAACTCACATTGCTAAAATGCTGTCATTTTTCCCTAAAATTTCTGTCTTTTAAGTTGATCTCAGAAGGATTTAATAAATATAGTGCATCTTTTTAAAAAGTTTACAACTCGGCCACGCGCGGTGGCTCATGCCTGTAATCCTAGAGCTTTGGGAGACCGAGGTGGGCAGATCATGAGGTCAGGAGATTGAGATCATCCTGGCTAACACTGTGAAACCATGTCTTAACTGAAAATACAAAAAATTAGCTGAGTGTGGTGGTGGGCACCTGTAGTCCCAGCTACTCAGGAGGCTGAGGCAGGAGAATGGCACGAACCTGGGAGGCGGAGCTTGCAGTGAGCCAAGATCGCGCCACTGCACTCCAGCCTGGGTGACAGAGCGAGACTCCATCTCAAAAAAAAAAAAAAAAGTTTACGACTCATCAGAATAAAAAAGTTTATGCTATATGTAAATTTGAAAAGTCCCATTAAGTATCAGCCAGGCACAGTGGCTCACGCCTGTAATTCCAGCACTTTGGGAGGCTGAGGCGGGCGGATCATGAGGTCAGGAGATTGACACCATCCTGGCCAGCATGTGTGGTGGCGCACGCCTATAGTCCCAGCTACTGGGGAGGCTGTGGCAGGAGAATTGCTTGAACCTGGGAGGCGGAGCTTGCAGTGAGCCGAGACCACACCATTGCACTCCAGCCTGGGTGACAGAGCGAGACTCTGTCTCGAAAAAAAAAAAAAAAAGGTAAGTATTGAAACACTATTTTAGAAATATTTGATGGGGATTTTTTTGAAAATTACTCTGGGTGTTGGGAGTAGGGGACACATACCAAATAGTGCATAGGCCATGCCCTCAGGGAGGTTGGAGTGGCACATGGCTGTATCTAGCAGGCTCCTGTTGACTGGTGGGTCCAAGCAGTGAGTGCCTGTGATATGTTTGGTGCTCAGGACCTGCTTACTTGCTGGACCACACTTGACAATGTAGCTCCTTCCCTTCGCCTTCCCAGGGGTGCGGGAAACACACAGGCATGAAGAGCGTGGCCTGGGCAGGAAATAAAAAGTTAATGTTTTCACTCAATTAATAGACATTTGGCTCTTTTTTGTGAAATTTTTCTTTTTTTCCTCTTCACAACACTCTTTTAGGTGTTATGTCGAGTGATGGGAGAGTGACTGTGCTTTTGCTTAAAGTGCAGTGGGTGTGGCGGGAACTCTGCAAAGGTGCCTCTTCCATGAGGGTCTAGCAGATTAAAATACTTGTAGGATAGCGTATGATGGCACTCAGAGGCTGTTTATAATAGTTCATTTATGGGAGCTGCCGCCTTTCTCTCCAAATTTGGAAGTTTTAAAATAAGGTAGGCTTATGTCCTCTCTTGTAAAGGGAAAAATTGTGTTATTTTGAAGGAGTGTTTATTTTCAAATCCCATATCATACTAGGTAGCCATTTATACAATTTGATTTATAGTCTCCTTGGCAGAAATTTGGAACTTTAAACTCTTTAAGCATTTTATATATAAAAATATGTAATAATACAAAATAAGAGTTTACAATAAAAGATAATTCACTTTGGAAAAAGCATATTTGTACTTAGAGTTTTTCATTCATTCATTCATTTTAAACAAAGTCTTCTTCTGCAGGATTCTAAACTGCCTTCCTCGGTTCGCAGTACACTTCTGGAACTGTTTGGTCAAATAGAAAGAGAATTTGAAAACCTTTATATCGAAAACTTAGAATGTGAGTATCTCCTATTTTAATATACTTTTATAGCTTTACCTATCCATAGTCAAATTTATGAATAGACATTCATCACTATATTAGTTTTCTGTTCTGCTGTAGCAAACTTAAACTTATTTTAGTGGCTTAAACTAACACAGATTTGTCATCTTGCAGTTCTGTGGGTCTGGTATAATTCCCACGAGGACTCCGTCTCAAAAGTAAATAAATAAAAATAAAAAATAAAAAATACATGGATCTTATCATTTTCCCTACACCAAGTACACCATAAATTGAGAAAACATTGATTTACTTTTTTATTAATATACCATCATTTGAAAATTGATGCATATACTATATCTGACTTATTAAAGACAAATCAAAACAATTTTGAATTAGCTTGGCTTTAATTTATCTTTTTTTTATTTTGGAAGTAATGGCCATATGTGCTTAAAAATTTATCAGACAGTATAAAAAGAAATCTACCATTACCCCTCAAGCCCATCGCACTCTTCAAAGGAAGACATTTTCTGCATGTTTTTGCTTTTGGTTCTTTTGGTGGTTAGTCCTGTGAATGTAAGTAATCATCTTCTGGTTTTAGATCTATCCGCTTTAGTGTTAATGCTTCACAGTGAAATAAACAGGTCCTTTGCGCTGCTCTATTACTTTCCAGTTTTTCTCCTTCAGGGTTTGTGTTTGTAAAATTTATATATATAAAGACAGGGTCTCACTGTGTTGCCCAGGCTGGTCTCAAACCCCTGGGCTTAAGTGGTCTTCCCACCTTGGCCTCCCAAAGTGCTGGGATTATAGGTGTGAGCCACCACACCCAAACTATAAAATTTGTACTAGACAAATGTAACTACAATCAAGTCTTTCATGCTTTATCTACAGGTTGATTCCAAAGGTTGAATACTAACAAAGAGCATTTCCATTGTTAAGCTGTTTTTCACTCTGTAACTAAGTGGTGTGGTTGGATGAATAATGAAGAGAATATAATCCTCTGTCATTTAAACTTTGCTTTTGGAAATTTTAATGTTAATACTGGATTCTCCTTTTTAAAGAGTCCACCTTTACAATTCATAGAGGGAAAAATCATTTCAACTTTTTTGTTTTTTTTTTTGAGACAAAATCTTGCTCTGTCACCTAGGCTGGAGTGCAGTGGCGTGATCTGGGCTCACTGCAACCTCCGCCTCCCAAGTTCAAGCGATTCTCATGCCTCAGCCTCCCAAGTAGCTGGGATCACAGGCACCCACCACCATGCCTGGCTAATTTTTGTATTTTTAGTAGAGAAGGGGTTTTGCCATGTTGGCCAGGCTGGTCTTGAACCCCTGGCCTCAAGTGATCTGCCTGCCTCGGCCTCCAAAATTGTTGGGATTACAGGCATGAGATACTGTGCCCAGCCCAGAATAATGTTTTTAATCGTGCAGAATCAATCACTATGGAAACTATGTTGAAATGCGGGTGCTGTCTTTGAGACCCTGATAGCAGTGTCTTCCACAGTGTAGCAAGTGTGTGAGCTTTTACTTTTGGAATGGTATCTCTAATGGTTTCTTTCTTTCTTTTTTTTTTTGAGATGGAGTGTCACTCTGTTGTCCAGGCTGGAGTGCTGTGGCGTGATCTCGGCTCACTGCAATCTCTGCCTCCCGGGTTCAAGCAATTCTCCTGCCTCAGCCTCCTGAGTAGCTGGGATTACAGGCATGCACCACCACGCCCGGCTATTTTTTGTATTTTCAGTAGAGACACCCTGTTGGTCAGGCTGGTCTCAAACTCCTGACCTCGTGATCCACCTGCCTTGGCCTCCCAAAGTGCTGGGATTACAGACGTGAGCCACCTCACCCAGCCTCGAATGGTTTCTTTAGTTTTTTGAGAACTCTATGAATTGTGATCTTGCTTATTAGAATATTATTCATGTCTTTGTTTATATAACACTAATATATAGCATTTTTTCTGTGTGCGAGTTTTGGAAGTGGTGAGTACACTTAAACATAAAAACATACTTTAGATTTTTGAAAACTTTTTTCTTCCCAGTACGTAGAGAAATCGACACTCTTAATGAACGTTTAGCTGCTGAAGGACAAGCGATTGATGGAGCAGAGCTGAGTAAGGGCCAACTCAAAACAAAAGGTAAGGTGAATCCCATGAAAGTCTTGTCCTGCAGATTATACATGCAGGAAATTTGGAATTTAGTGAAGGATGCTGGCTGGTTTGCGTTTTGCTGTCAGCAGACCTCGAACTATCTAATTCAGGTGTGGGTCTAGGAGAATAAGGAGCTCGGTTCTTGTTCCTGTTCTGCCATGGCTCTGTGTCACTAGGGTCAAACGAGCCTTTCTGGGCCCCCTTTCTTCCTGTGCAAGACACAAGACCCATTTGTGAGGCTATAGGTCTTTGATTGTGTGATTGTGTTTGATTGTCACTCTCTGTCCCTGCAGCCAGTCACAGCACCAGCCAGCTCTCCCAGAAACTGAAGACCACTTACAAGGCTTCCACCAGCAAGGTATGCAGGCCACTGGCTCTTGAGCCATCATGTGGTGGTTAAGGTGTGCAGATGTGTACTTTAAGTTGTTTATTTTCCAATTAGAAAGGCATAGCAGAAAAAGATAAATGGTTTTAAGGGAAATTTAGTTTTTTAAAGGAATGTCCTGGCTGGGCATGGTGGCTCATGCTTGTAATCCCAGCACTTTGGGAGGCTGAGGTGGATGGATCACTTGAGGTCAGGAGTTTGAGACCAGCTTGGACAACATGGTGAAACCCTGTCTCTACTAAAAATACAAAAATTAGCTGGGTGTGGTGGCGGGTGCCTGTAATCCCAGCTACTTGAGAGGCTGAGGCATGAGAATTGCTTAAGCCTGGGAGGTGGAGGTTGCAGTGAGCCGAGCTTACACCACCGCACTCTAGCCTGGGCAACAGAGCGAGATTCCGACTCCAAAAAAAAAAAAAAGAATGTCACTATGCAGGCATTTACATAGTAGCTTACCCTAGTACCTACAGGGATTAATATATGATGTATTAGTAAATATATTGTCTTTAGAGGGAATATATAATTTCTCTTGTTAATTGGCTTAATATAAAGGGTCTGAATTTGGAGGAAGCTAATAAATAGGTACAAATTAGTGAAAATTATGTTCTGAGCTAAAGTTACATTTTAGTTCATTATGTTCTTTTCCTCAGTTTCCTAAGTGTGATCAGGAAGTGAAGGTCTGTCTCTAAGGCAAATAGGGATGTTCATGGTTTTTGTATTTTCTTAAAGTATCTCGTGCTGACCTTCTTAAAGTGGAAAGGGTTTAATTGTTTGGGAATTCATTTGTCTGTGATGGATTACTATCAAGTGATATTTTGAGGTAATTTTGTATGCATCTGTACTTTGGCATATTTCAAGGATACAAAGATAAATTGAAATTTTCAGTGATCTTGCTATGATGGTGTAAGTAGTTCTTGTTAGCTTTTTATTTTTCCAATTTGTTTCCTTGAGTTTAAAGTTAATTTAGCATGACATCTATAGTAAGATTAACTGCAATTAATAGAGCAAATTTAGTCCTTCTGCCGTTTGTCCTCACTTGATAGTCTTTGGTAATTCTTTGTTATTCAAAAGAAAATCTGAAATTGTTGGTATTTTCTACTGTACTTTCCTTCGATAACATCTAGAATGTAAGTTGCTAATTTATTTGATTTTTTTTTTGGCCATGTAATGTCTAGCTTATACTTACAAGTTTTGAACTTTTTAATAAATTAACTTGAAGCTTTTTCTTCATAATGAAGTGTGAAATTATGTTCTTCCTCATTTAATTTCTTTTTACATTATCTTGGATTATGTTGTTTTTTCTGGTGTGTACAGTTGTATATATACAATGTATGGTCTTGGAATTCCAAAACTTTCTCATTATTACTGAAGTAGAGGAAGAAATGATTATATAAAGTTGTCCTTTACCATGAGCAGTAAAAAATAAGATTTGGACAAGGGTAAGGATATGTATAGTAATGCTTTGCTTTAAAAAATGTATTAGAGATATTTAAAGCCCAGTCATTTTAGGTACTAGAAATTCATCTGAATTTATAAGAAGCATATTACTAATGATCTTTATAGCCTTTGCACACTGCCCATACCCATTGTAAAAAATAACTATGAAAATATAAGACATCTGAAGATTGAAGAAATAATTTGGTAACAGAATATATTCTGATTCGTACTACAGTGTGGATTCTTGGTGCCAAAGCTAAGCATGAATGCAACAAGAGAAAGGCTACAGTCTAGCTTTATTACTTTCCCTCCTTCTGACCCAGAGCCACGAAAAGCAAGTAACGTGCCTGGTGGGATAGCGGGAACACAAAAGTGTGTTACGTGAACGCAGAAGAGGTTTTTCCCCTTCCTGGGTGGCTAATGAGATTTCTGATGCCTACGGGGGAGGGAAGTGAGGAAGTCTAACCTGCAGCCCTCTTTAAAGAAACTTATAAAAATCAGAAAGGGCTTTTTCCACAAAGAAAGACACTTATCTTCTCAAAAATATTTGCAAACATTTTCACAACCGTGCTTTAGATTGCGCCGCAGTTCAAACGATCTGGGATGATGGGCGTGAGCGTCAGTTTGCGGCTTTGTTCTGCTGCTTTTCTGTTATGAACGTTCCCTCTAGGTAATTCAGTCTGTTTTGTTGGGCCTCTTGGTAATGACGACTAAGTCAGCTTTTCTAAGGAAAAAGAGTTAAGGTAATAGATGGTCAAAGTGCAGTGGGCATTTTGGAAGCAACACATGAGAAAATATTTGAAAACGGCACATGATCCCCTGCACAGCTCCAGCAGCACAGCTCCAGCAGCACAGCTCCAGCAGCAGTGCAGTCAGAGCCTCTGGGAAGGAGCCACTCTGTTCTTACCCTGCGAATGGAGCAGGTGAAGAATGTAACTCTAGTAGTTTGTTTCTTATAATACTGTTATTAATGTTAGAAGTGGTGAGAGATTTGGAAAATGAAATTTACGACAATACTGTTACTTATGTTAGAAATGGTGAGAGGCCTGGAAAATGAAATTTACTACAATACGGTTATTAATGTTAGAAATGGTGAGAGACTTGGAAAGTGAAATTTACCACCGCTTATTATGGTGGGAGGTTGTGTGTGTCCTTTAATTTCACTCCCTCCTAAAATGTTACAATGTTATTTAACATCTGAATGACACTTTCTGTAAGCAAAAGCATCTCCCATGTTGTGGAGGCATAATTTTCCTGGATTGAATAGGATATTAGTGTTCAGAAAGAAAAGAGGATAATGATGGGTTTGAGGTTGAACAAGTGCTTTTGCAATTCCTCTGACCAGTTGCAGTGGAAGTTCTTCCTGTTACTGGTGAAAATGTTGGCCTCTTCCTCAGCCTTTTATATCACTGTATCCGAGGAGAATAACTCGAGGGTGCGGACCCAAATCCATGTGACAGTGGGTTGTGCTTTATGGTCTTAGGAAGAATGAATTTAGATGTGTTTTTCAGGGC
This sequence comes from Homo sapiens, assembly GCF_000001405.40. Lineage (NCBI taxonomy): Eukaryota > Metazoa > Chordata > Mammalia > Primates > Hominidae > Homo > Homo sapiens. The sequence goes on from NC_000010.11 coordinate 1,083,452, forward strand.
TATGCCAAATCAGTGTTTGAAACAAGTTGTGTAATGCCACTGATTTTAGTTCTTCACTTAGTTTTTTTGTTTTATTCTGAAAAGTCTACATTATTCTGATTTACTTAACAGCTGGACAGCTGTTTTCTTACCAAAGAAAAATTTAAAAAGCAAACTCTGCAGAAATCGTTGTGTTGAATTAGTTTCTTCCTCACTCACTTCATATTTTTCCTGACAAGAGGGCATGAGAACTGTCTGCTGTGTGTGTCGTCATTCGAGACGATGCCTTTCTGTGGTCCGTGATGTGTTCGCGTTGTCTCCTGCTGGGCTGAGCATGTCCAAAAGGCCAGGGGCCTACGGCCGCGCTGCCCTGCATCCTCATAGCTGGTGCCTGTTCTGAGCGAGCGCCAAGTCTCGGGCAAACCGGCACACCTATTAGTGTCGTCTTTTGATTCCTCCCCACCACAGGCTTTTTTTACACTTGATGATACGTGGTTGGTGTAAATTCTCAAAAACAGCAAAATGTGAACATGTACAGCGATCAGTGTCATTAGCTAAAGTTAAGGGTTTGGGATGTCCTTCCTGACTTTTTTGTATCTGAGTGGCTAGCTAACGATTTGTTTAAGAATTTGGAAATTTTGTCTCATGGTTTGGGTTTGGGGGAGAGGACCTGAAACACCTAAATCCACCCTTCTGCAGTGAGACCTTCCATGCCTGGCTGTCAGACTGAGGTGGGGGAGCCTGCACAGGTCGCCGCGAGAGCTGCACGCATTCTCTGTGATATGAGCTGAACCCGCCACCCTTTCCACGCAGGGCGTTTCAGCTCACACTTGCGCTGTGTTCCTTGATGCTTTAACTGTCCTAGTCAGTGATTTGTGCATTTTCCAAGACGTCTTTTTCGTTTTCTCTTTCTTGACTTAGAAAAATTTACTTCAGTAAATTGTTTCACAAGACTCCCCATCTTGGTTTCAGATTGTCTCCAGCTTTAAGACCACGACATCGAGAGCTGCCTGCCAGCTCGTGAAGGAGTACATCGGCCACCGGGACGGCATCTGGGATGTCAGCGTGGCCAAGACACAGCCAGTGGTGCTCGGGACTGCATCAGCCGGTGAGTCGCACACGGACCTGGCCAGCCTGCGGAAGCATGGCTGTGCTTAATCCCTGAGTGATGGACATTCACTTTTCTGTGGCAGAGGAACCCTAGATGCAAAAGCGTCATGGAGGAGTCAGTGGAACCCCCCACACATTAACCCTTGGTGATGCTTAGTGTTGTGGCCTGAAGTCCTGCATTCCGTGGTCTTGTGGGAGGGTGTGCAGCTGCACCTTGCATTTTGTGGTCCCGTGGGTGGGTGTCCAGCTGCATCCTGCATTCCATGCTCCCATGAATAGATGTGCATCTGCACCCTGTCTTTTCCAGGTCCCCGTGGGTAGGGCGTTGCAACTCACAGTGAACCAAGTATCTGAGGAAAGAAATACTTGTTTGGAATGGATTTAACTTAAATGTGTTGAGGAATCAGTATTCCAATTATTTGTTTTCTTTTTCTTATTTGAGACGGAGTCTCGCTCTGTTGCCCAGGCTGGAGTGCAGTGGCGCAATCTCGGCTCACTGCAACCTCTGCCACCTCCTGCGTTCAAGCGATTCTCCTGCCTCAGCCTTCCCAGTAGCTGGGACTACAGGCGCCCGCCACCACGCCTGGCTAATTTTTTTTTTTTTTTGTATTTTTAGTAGAGGCGGGGTTTCACCGTTTAGCTAGGATGGTCTTGATCTCCTGACCTTGTGATCTGCCTGCCTTGGGCTCCCAAAGTGTTGGGATTACAGGCGTGAGCCATCGTGCCTGGCCCTCTTTTTCTTATCCACAGCCAAGTGTGTTTCTGATTTGTGGATGTATTTGACTTTTTTCCCACAAGTGGAGTGCAGTTGAGGGACAGTAGTTTGGTACTCACTGAAAGTGAACACTACCTGGGCACGTAGCCAGCAGTGGAGGCTGATGGCCTCCCCCAGCAGATGTTTGCCCACAGAATCACAGGGGCAGAGTGTGGAAAGTGACCCTTTGTTTTCTCTAAAAAAAGATATTTTATGAAAGCTATCTAAGGTGGCATAATACCCCTTGAGATAAAAATTGCTCAAATTACAAATGATGCTCATTGAAAATGCCGTCCCAGCTTGTGAGACGTTAATCACTCACTGGACTCTGCTTTTTAGAGGCAGAAGTGAATGTGATAAACCATTTGAATAGCGAAGAAAGTTCTTGCTTCTCCTTTGAAACTGTTTTCATGGATGAGCGCCTTGGATTGCTTTGGAAATCATAGTTTTAAAAAAAGAATAAAAAGGTCCTTTCTGATATTTCCGAAATTTCATTTGGCTAATTGGTGCTTATTTCTCAGATTTTCCCATTAAATCTACTTAAAAAAATAATGGCTATAAGAGAAAGACCCAAAGATCCAAAGACATGCTTATCTCAACAGTTGTAACTGGATTTGGATGCTGTTTGAATTTGAACTCTGGGAGATGTTCTGGAACATTTTAATACTTTAATAAAATAATGAAACTGTGATGGGAACGACCTCTGTCTGTCATTTTCCAGCATGATGCAGCCAGCCTGATAGTAAAGTAGGAAATCGAGTCTCTGGTTGTCCGTTAGCTGACTTCATGGCCTCAGACAGGTCACAGCTTCTCCCATTTGGGAAATGTTTTCTTTGATCAATTGAAGCATACAGAGTAATAGAATCAAAGGTGGAAGAGATATCAGTGGTCGTGTAATTTCCCATTTTTAGAGTATTTGTCTTATTCTTTCATTTGAAAAACTATAAACTGATGATAGCTAAGTTCCGACTTCTTCATTTCCATCTTGCAGATCACACGGCTTTGCTGTGGAGCATAGAGACAGGGAAGTGCCTAGTCAAGTACGCAGGCCACGTGGGCTCAGGTAAGCACTGCCTAAGGAGTGCCGTAGCCAGAGGCCGTTGCCTTCTCCAGTGTGTTTTTAAAATCGTGCATGATAAAGCCAGCTGCTACTGTGTAGGAAGCCTTACTGTTTCGGTTGTCAGGGGACAGTGTGGTCTGTTCAGAGACTGGGATAACTCTGTCTTGAGCTTGTATGGGCTCAATAACAGGGAAAAGCTTAACTCCCTAAACAATGTACATATCATGTTAGTCTGCATTTTATTTAATATTGTATATAACCCATATGTAGGAAATTTTGTAACTGAAATGTGTGCGTTATTTTTCACAAAATACATATCTGTTTTAGAGGTTTACTTTTGATGTAGTGATAACTTGGATGTATTCAATAAAGGATACTCCATGAATGTGCTTGCGTGCCCGTAGTTAATGCTGTCCACGGAGTGAATGCTGTCCACGTAGTTAACGCTGTCCATGTAGTTAGTTAACGCTGTTCACGTAGCTCTTTTCTGCCTTTTCACTTAGAGCTGTGTGTGTACCAGTTTCCTGACCAGACTTTGTTTCTGTTTCCTCTCGCACGTGCTGTGTGGTTCCTTCCCCCGCAGTGCCCTCTTCACTTGCTCACTCGCCCTCCCTCACACCTCCACGCTGCCAGGCTGAGAGGTGGCATCGCCTGTGTGCACAGAGGGACAGGTGTGGGTGGGGCCCGTGGCTCTGAGCGCCTGTCTGCCCGTCCACAGGGCCCTGATGAGCTGTGGAGCCTTCCCCTCCCCTTTCCCAGGACCTCCTCTCCTTTGGCCATTCCTGCTGTCACAGTGTCTTCTCTTTCTTGCCCTGGACATTTCCCCTTAGTGTGTAGACAGGCTGGCGCCTTTCCCGTGTTAGACCCCCTCCTCCGTGCTGCCTTCTTACCTGTCTTCCTCCCCTGGCATCCCACAGACTGGCTGGGGTGCCACAGTGTCACCTGCAGTTTTCTAGCAGTGCCTGGCGTGTGTGTGATTGGTGCTCAAATGTAGAGCAAAACGCTGTTACAGGAACGAGTGCTGTATTCTGTTTCCTCCTTCAAATTTCCTCTTCAGAAACGTTAAAAAAATTAAATATATGTGCATAGGTTAAAAACTTAAGACTTGAAAATCGAAATGACTCCTTGATCCCTGGGCTACAGAATGGATGTTGTGTTAGTAGGCATGAAATCAGCATTCATCTTGTACATCTCCATCAGAGCTCTTAGGTGAGCAGGTGCGTTGTCAATGAGCCAGTTGTATTATGATAGGTGTAGGTCTTAATGGTAGGCTTAAAATACTCAGTCAACAATGCTGTCATCAGATGTACTGTCATCCATGCTTTGTTGTTCCATTTATGGAGGACAGGTAGAGGAGATGTAGCGTAATTCTTAAGGGCCCTGGGATTTTTGAAATGGCAAGTGAGCATTGACTTCAGCTGAAAGTCACCAGCCGCATTCGCCCCTAACAAGAGTCAGCCTGTCCCTTGAAGTTTCGAAGGCATGGATGTCTCCTTTCTAGCTAGGAAAGTACTAGACAGCATATTCTTCCAATATAAGGCTGTTTGTTTGCATTCAAAACCTGTTGTTTAGAGTAACCATCTTCACCAATGAGCTCAGCTGGATCTTCTGGAGAACTTGCTGCAGCTTCTCCATCAGCACTTGCTGTTTCACCTTGTACTTTTATGTTGTGGAGACGGTGTCTTAAACCTCATAAACAACTCTCTGCCAGCTTCCAGCTTTTCTTCCGCAGCTCCCTCACCTCTCACAGCCCTCAGGGAATTGAGAGTCAGGGCCCTGCTCTGAATTAGGCTGCAGCTAAAGGGAATGTTGTGGCTGGTTTAATCAGTCCCCACCACTCAAACTTCCTGTGTATCGGCGTTCTTGTCATTTGTGTGTTCACTGGAATAGTGCTCTTACTTTCCTTCGAGAACTTTTCCTTTGCATTCAGAAGTTGGCTGTTTGGTGCAAGATGCCCAGCTTTCAGCCTGTCTCAGCTTTTGACTTGCCTTCCTCACTAAGCTTAATCATTTCTAGCTTTTGATTTAAAGGGAGCAATGTGCAACTCTTCCTTGCATTGGAATACTTAGAGGCCATTGTAGGGTTATGAATTGGCCTAATTTTAGTATTGTTTTGTCTCGGAGTAGAGAGGCCTGAGCAGAGGGAGAGATGAGAGAAAGGCTGGTTGGTGGAGCAGTCATAACTCCCACAACATTTATTGAGTAAGTTTGTGGTCTTATGTGGGTGTGGTTTGTGCCTCTCCCCAAAATGACAATGGTAGCATCAGAGATCACAGGTCACTATTAACAGACATAATAATAATGCAAAAATCCAAGGTCAAGGTGCTGGCAAAAAGAAATTAAAAAAAAAAAAAGAAAAAGTTTGAAATATTGCAAGAATTACCAGCGTGTGTCACAGAGACGTGAAGTGAACACATGCTGTTGGGAAAATCGTGGCAATTAGGTGTTCAACGCAGGGTTGCCACAAACCCTCAATTTGTAAAAAATCCAGTACCTACAAAGCACAGTAAAGTGAAGGGTAATAAAACGGGGTATGCCTGCATCCACACATAGACGTGTACATACACGCATAGTCATTTCTGTTCTCTAGAGGGGATTTAATTTTCCCTTGGCCAGCAGATAGAGTGGACGGCAAGCCTTGATTGACTTAAGGGTTGGTGGCCGGTGGGTTTCAGGCTTTAGGGGTTCTGCTGTTCCTCTCGCTTTCCCTTGTTCTAAGGGAGTTGTCCTTCAAGGGTGTGTCTTCACAGGCCCTGAGCTTTAGTTTCATCTGCCAGTCCTCTCCGTGTTAGCTCTTAGAGGCTGCTTTCTGCTTGGTGTCCGCCCTCATGCCCAGTTTAGGTGCTGTCAGTGCCTGGGGGAGGCGAGCAGCTGGCCCGCTCCTTCCTGGCTGCCTCTTCTGAGGGATCCAGCCTCAGTTCCTGTCACGGCCGCTCACGTCTGGACTGCACCCTCGCTCCGGCTGGTCTCTGTGCCTTGAGGGAGTGCGTCAGCTAGTGGGGCTTCCAGTGCTTCCCTCTGGGGCCTCTGGGCCTGGGGGCCTCAGGGCTTCCATGATGACTTCAAGCCTTGTGTTTATTTTTTGCTGTTTATCTGCAGCTTTTATAATTAATTCCACTAGGGGGTCTGAGTGGATCCACAGAGGCTGCCTTGTCCCAGCAGGAAGAAGTCTCTTCCTGTTCTTGTGCCTGGCTTGTGTTTTTTATTGGCTTTCCGTTCTTCACGCAGGTTAATTCAGCCTTCCCGTGCTCACCCACAATTCAACCTTCCCATGCTCACCCACAATTCAGCCTTCCCGTGCTCACCCGCAGTTCGGCCTTCCCGTGCTCACCCGCAGTTCGGCCTTCCCGTGCTCACCCGCAATTCAACCTTCCTGTGTTCACTCACTCACCGTCACCATCTGCTCTTCTGGCCTCCAGTATTCGGTGTCGTCTCTTCGCTCATCGTCTCTTTAGTTCTTTCTTTGTGGGTCTGTTCCTGTTTCTTCCAGGATGCCTTCTGCATTTAGAGAGGTGTCAGAGAGGGGAGAAGACGCCTGTGTTTCTGGCACGTTGTCGTGTTGCGTGTGTCTCTCCTCTTCCTCCTGGGGACTTGTGTTTGTGTTTTTCCACTAGGGGATTTTTCTTTTTTTGAGACGGAGTCTCACTATGTCACCCAGGCTGAAGTGCAGTGGTGCAATCTTCATTTGCTGCAACCTCCGCCTCCCACGTTGAAACGATTCTCCTGCTTCAGCCTCCCGAGTAGCTGGGATTATAGGTGCCCGCCACCACGCCTGGCTAAATTTTGTATTTTTTTAAAATTTATTTTTAATTAATTTATTTTTTGAGATGGAGTTTTGCTGTGTCACCAGGCTGGAGTGCAGTGGTAGGATCTCGGCTCACTGCAACTTCCGCATCCCTGGTTCAAAGGATTCTCCTGCTTCGGCCTCCCGAGTAGCTGGGAGTACAGGCACATGCCACCACGCCCAGCTAAGTTTTGTATTTTTAGTAGACGTGGGGTTTCACCATGTTGGTCAAGCTGGTCTTGAACTCCTGACTTCAGGTGATCCAGCCGCCTCGGCCTCCCAAAATGTTGGGATTATAGGTGTGAGCCACCGTGCCCGGCCTGGAGATGTTTTGATCTCTTAAGTTGACCTAACTAAAGGGAGTGGTGGGGCTGGTGGGAGTTGAATCAGTACAACTCTACAAGGAGATGGTCTTGACCCTGAATCACACTCTGCCTCTTTCCTCTTGGGTCCTCTGAGCACAATGCCCAACAGCAGACTCCCCGCTCTGGCCCCCAGGAGAGGAAAATGGGTGAGGGTCCCAGTTTCACTGTGTCTGCGCCTCTCAGAGGCAGAGGTGACACTGGTGGCAGAGGTTGTTGTCCCCTTTGTTCTTCTCTCTTTAGATTTCAGCTTAAATTTTATGACAGTTAAATGTGCACGTGATGGAAGGAGCCAGTGCCTTTGACACTGGATGAAGGGTAGCCGTGGCTGGCATCCCCGTTTCTGCTCCCCTCGTGGCCACTGTGGATTGGGTCAGGTGCCCATGGATTCTGCTGCTGCGCCTTTAAATCATGGCTCACGTGCTGCCCCGGCCTTCCTGCTCCAGCCGGCCTGTTGACCGTCCACTATGGAAGGTGACCGGGGGTGATTGAGCTCTCTCGAGGGCCTCGTTATACAGGCGTGGTTTTCATCCTAACCCCAACATGATTCTGTGCCGATTTTGTAAGATCAGGGGTCAGTTTTCACACTATTTTGAGTGGGTGAGCAGTGCTGCGAAGCAACTGCCTCCACAGCTCCCGTCACCATGTGCCTGCCTGCCCTACCCCTCCTTCTGTGGTGTGGTGCCTTCCACCCACACCTCACAGTGGCCCAGCTTCGTTTGTGATTAGCTGAGGGTTGGGATAGACATAATAAAGTGAAAATTGATGATTGATCTTACCAAAATTTCTCATCGAAATTGGAAGCATTAATACTATTTGTTAGTGGGTCTAGTGATCGTTTGGTTTTAGCTCCATTGAGTGCTTAAGTTTATTGCTTATAAGTGTACACGGTTTCCACCAGTTTTTCCCACAGTTATCTGTATTTTAATATTAATAATGAGGCTATCTTCTAGCATTTTTCATTTAGTTCCTTAGAAAAATATAATTCTAATGGTATAGCTACCAACATTTTGTTAAGGAGATAACCTATTCAGATTTGGTCAAATTTCCTATATGTTCTACGTTAGGGACATGCATTTTCTTCACAAGGGGTGGAAATAAGGGTTGGTGTCCCCAGAGTGACAGGAGTCAGCTCTTTGCTCTGCTGACTGGTGCTGACTGATGGTAGCTCACCCCATCCCAATTCCTGTCGTTTGCTTTGGGAACATCCCAGGTGGGCAGTGTGGGCTCCAGACTAGGTCAGGCCTGTGGAGCCGGGCTCTGTGTTCAATGCTGGCATTTATGTGCGTGCTTGTGGTCTTGCTGACCACATGTCAAGCTATTCTGTCTACATTCAAGACAGGAGCAAGGGGGAAGGTGAAGTGCCAGGGTCTCCTGCTCCTTTTTCAAGAAAATGATAGGCCGGGCGCGGTGGCTCACGCCTGTAATCCTAGCACTTTGGGAGGCCGAGACGGGCGGATCACGAGGTCAGGAGATTGAGACCATCTTGGCTAACACGGTGAAACCCCGTTTCTACTAAAAATAGAAAAAATTAGCCGGGCGTGTTGGCGGGCGCCTGTGGTCCCAGCTACTTGGGAGGCTGAGGCAGGAGAATGGCATGAACCTGGGAGGCGGAGCTTGCAGTGAGCTGAGATCGCGCCACTGCACTCCAACCTGGGAGACACAGCGAGACTCCGTCTCAAAAAAAAAAAAAAAAAAAGAAAATGATAGCTTCCTCAGACCTCTGGCTGGGTGCGGTGGCTCACGCCTGTAATCCCAGCACTTTGGGAGGCCGAGGTAGGCAGGAGTTTGAGACCAGCCTGGACGACATGGCAAGACCCGGTCTCTACTAAAAATACAAAAGACCGTGTCTCTACTAAAAATACAAAAGACCCTCTTTTTTTTTGAGACGGAATCTCGCTCTGTCGCCCAGGCTGGAGTGCAGTGGCTCGCGGATCTTGGCTCACTGCAAGCTCTGCCCCCCTGGGTTCATGCCATTCTCCTGCCTCAGCCTCCCAAGTAGCTGGGACTACAGGCGCCTGCCACAGTGCCCATCTAATTTTTTGTATTTTTAGTAGAGACGGGGTTTCACCATGGTCTCGATCTCCTGACCTCGTGATCTGCCCGCCTCGGCCTCCCAAAGTGCTGGTATTACAGGCGTGAGCCAGTGCGTCTGGCCCGACCCTGTCTTTACTAAAAATGGCAAGACCCTGTCTCTACTAAAAATACAAAGAAACCCCAAACTAGTCAGGTGTGGTGGTACATTCTTGTGTCCCAGCTACTTGGGAGGCTAAGGTAGGAGGATCACCTGAGCCTTGAAGGTCAAAGCTGTAGTGAGCTGAGATCGTGCCATTGCATTCCAGCCTAGGCAACCAGAGCAAGACCCTATCTCACAAAAAAAAAAAAAAAAAAAAAAAAAAGAAGACCTCTGCCAAATACCCCTTTTGTAAGGAAAGTGGGAGGACATCATAGACTGTGTAACCCAGTCCTGATTCATTCTCTGAGGCTGGCAGAGGTTATACTCTCTGGGGTCCTGGCGTCTCTACTAGTCACAGAACAGACTGGGGTCCTTAGGCTGGGAAGGAAGGCGGATGGGGCGGGGCTTATGGTAATAAATTGTGTCTGCCACACTATAATTTGTCTTCACCCGTTGTCATAATTATGTTTTCTTTTTTTTAATCCTGATTTATTTTTAGCTAAAAATGACATCTTTGTCTATAAAAAGAACTAGATGATGAATATCCTTTTCCTGGGGTCCTAAACTATAGCGATTTGGTGGTTCATACCTTAGTTGTTTTTATTGTGCCTGTGTTCTAATTCACACATTTATTTATAACTTAACTGAGTGGAGGATCAAATATTGAACTCATAGTTCTTTTAATGTTGACTTTGAAATACACGCTATAGCTAATAAATGTTGATAACATGTTTTTGTCACTTTAAACCTGTTTTTATCATATTTTTATTTTGCAGTAAATTCTATCAAATTTCATCCCTCAGAGCAGTTGGCTCTCACTGGTATGTTGATTTTTTTCTTTATTGAACAAAATGATAGATGGTCTTAAAACAACTATAAATATTCCTTTCTTATCGTAGCAGAATAATCCATGGCTTTTATGAAAGTTAATCTTTAGTAGACATTTTATGAATTAAATGAGAAATGGATAAAGGAAAATACATTGAGCAGTACTTTCTAGAGACAGTAGTGGATAAGCAGTTGGATTTATTGTGAGATGAAGATGGCTTCACGGTCTTCTCGAAGCCTTTCCGTACAGCATCAGTATGTTTGCTGCTCCCCCCGCAGTTCCTGTAGACGGAGCTCCTTGAGGCCCTGTGGTTACCATTCTGTTCCCTTAGATTGTAGGCATCTGATATGGAGGAAAAGAGAAAAGTAGCACAGAGACACAGCAAGTTGCCAATGTCAGCATTTTTACTTCTTTCTGGGTAATTTATCTAACCCGTGGTAGCTTGGATTTGCTATAATTTCAGAGTAGTTTTAAAAACGTGCCTTCCTTGGTCGCTTTTTCGAGGGTAGCCTTACAGTACTGAGGACTTTTCCTGTGAGATTGTCAGACCCCCACAGATCCCCATGATAGCCCAGGGACATTGGTGATGATCTCGAAGGATGTGTGTAGGCTTTCAGTAGACCAGAGGTCCTTATGATTTTTCTGTAAAGGAGTAAGCAGTGAATATTTTCATCTTTGCGGGACATTCAGGCTCTGTCGCCAGTACTGAGTTCTGCTCTTGCAGCCTAAAAGCAGCGGACAGTGCACTGATGAGTGGACATGGCTGTGTCCACTTATTCACAAAAGTGGGCGGCTGTCTGGGTTTCGCCTATGGGCCAAATTGTGCTGACGCAGGAATAGAACACTGAGGTTGAGATGACTGGCCCCTTCATGCAGGTGGAGTTGTTTAAGAAGGAGCCCCAGCAACAGGTACTTCCAGTGTGTGGGATGCAGCGAGTCATGCGGTTTGGTTGGAGTTTCTATGTGAGAGAGAAATGTGGTGGGAGGGTTAGCCTGAGAGTCATTTTGAGCAGGCCCAGACCACATAGCTGACTTTCACCTTCATACGTGGATGAAGACTAAAGCAGACAAGGAGTTTACACCTTACGAAGTTGGCGGTTTGTGGGATGATTGAAAAGGGAGCAAGGAGACTGGTGGCAATTAGACGTGTCCAGATTCAAACCAAAGGGCTGGAAAAGAGGGTGGAACCAGACACATCCAGGAACTGATGAAGACTTGGAAACATGAGGTAATGGACATAGAGAGGGGAGAGTTAGACTAGGAAACATGAGGTAATGGGGATAGAGAGGAGAGTTAGACTTGGAAACGTGAGGTAATGGACATAGAGAGGGGAGAGTTAGATTAGGAAATGTGAGATAATGGGGATAGAGAGGAGAGTTACACTGGGAAACATGAGGTAATGAACATGGAGAGAGGAGAGTTAGACTTGGAAACAGGAGGTAATGGGCATAGAGAAGGGAGAGTTAGACTGAGAAACGTGAGGTGATGGGGATAGCGAGGAGGGTTAGACTGGGAAACATGAGGTAATGGGTATAGAGAGGAGAGTTAGACTGGGAAACGTGAGGTAATGGGCATGGAGAGAGGAGGGTTAGACTTGGAAACGTGAGGTAATGGGCATGGAGAGAGGAGGGTTAGACTGGGAAAGATGAGGTAATGAACATGGAGAGGGGAGAGTTAGACTGGGAAATGTGAGGTGACGAGCATGGAGAGAGGAGAGTTAGACTTGGAAACGTGAGGTAATGGGCATGGAGAGGGGAGAGTTAGACTTGGAAACTGGAGGTAATGGGCATAGAGAGGAGAGAGTTAGACTGGGAATGTGAGGTAATGGGGATAGAGAGGAGAGTTAGACTGGGAAACGTGAGGTAACAGGCATGGAGAGAGGAGAGTTAGAGGGGAAACGTGAGGTAACGGGCATGGAGAGAGGAGAGTTAGACTGGGATTGGGCATGATGTTGATTTGAGGAGGAGTTGCAAGTCCGGGCAGTACATTCATTTGCATCAAATGTGCTGCATCAGCTCAGAGCAGCTCCTTTAGAGAAGCTGGGTGGCAGTGAAGAGAAGGTGGAAGCCAGCCTGCCCGTGTGTGGGTGAGAGGTGGCCATGCTGGTGTCCGAGGCCTGTTCTGTGCCCCGCAGTGCTGTCCTTTTGTCTTTCCAATCCTCAGTCAAAGCGTTTCCTCGCAAACTGGCTGCTGAAAACAGAGTGGGACGGGAGCCGCACACATGAGCAGTGCTGATAGGTGCCTGGCCCATTGAAAGGCCGCGTGTGTGTTGAATGGATGGAGATGAGTGTCGCTTTCCCGAACGTCTCAGAGTTGATTGCAGCTGTAAGTTCTGATATGATAGGGTTTCTTAGGTTAGATAGATGGAGAGGAAAATCTACTATTTGTACATTTTCTCTGAACTTCCAGGACTTTCTATGCTAAAATGAAAGGTGAAATAGTTTTATAAGTAATCATTATTTCCTCAATTTTGGACATGTACTCTATTTTCAATAGCATTATGCAGTCTCAGAAAAGAGTTATTTAAGTAAAAAGTACATTCCTCTCACTAAGTGGTCACTAAGCTGGAAAGGTCTGACTGCTGCTGCTTAGCCATAGTGGCGGTGAAGAGCGCATTTTACCATGGTCTGTGCCTTGGGTAATTTTCCCCGATTTCTCTCTTCAGCTTCTGGAGATCAGACTGCTCATATCTGGAGATACGCGGTGCAGCTGCCGACACCCCAGCCTGTTGCTGACACTAGTGTAAGCACCTTTCCTTACCTGTGAATGTGTAGGATGCTGATGTCTGCGAATCTGAGAATCCATTTATGATATCTGTCATGGACGGAATGTTTGTGTCCCCCCAAGTTCAGTGTTGAAGGCCTCACCCCCGGTATGGTTGAATTTGGAGATTGGGCCTCTAAGGTAGTAGTTAAGGTTCAGTGAGGTTGCGTGAGGTCCTCATAAGAGGAGACAGTGGAGAGCTCACCTGTGTTCTCAATCTCTCTGTCACTCTCCGTGTCACGTAAGAGCAGAGCCAGAGGGCGGCCGTCTTTAAGGATGAGCCCGCACCAGAACCTGAATTGGCTTGATCTTGGACTTCCAGCCTCCAGCACTGTGAGAAAATAAATGTCTGTTTTTTATGCGTCGCCCGGTCTGCGGCCTTTTGTTGCGGCAGCCAGAGCCAACTGAGACAGATTTCAGTACCGCGCGCAGAGCGGGGGCTGCTGGAGAAATGCCGACGGTGTGGACCTGGCTTCGGGACCGGGAATGGGTACATGCTGCAGACGTTTTCAGGGACCTGCTGGAGAAAGCCTCCATAGCGGCGAAGAGCTTGTTGGTAGAAATACGGACATCAATGGGGACTCGGGTGAAGGCTCAGAGAGGAAAGGGGAGAGCTGGAGAGAAAGCTTCTAGCATCTCAGAGAATGCAGGTATCATAGACAGAATGTTGTGGAAAAGTGGATGTTGAAGGCCTTTCTGCTGAGGCTTAGAGGAGGCGAGGGACAGGTCACGGGGAACCGGAAGAAAGTGATCCTCATTACAAAATGGCTGAGGACTTGGCTGAGCTGAGATCCTGTGAATGAAATGTTAAAGGTGCAGCCTGGCTGCTCTCCTCGCTTACAATAAAGTGTGAAAGGACGGAGATACTCCGAAAGAGTTGTTAAGGGAAAGGGGACGAGAACTTGTAAGATTTGGGAAATTCCCAGCCTGTGTCTGTGACAAAAAAAAGAGAAAGCTGGTTCCGAAGAGCACATGCAGGGTTTGTCTGAACAGCCAGTTGACAGGGAGGCGAGTGTGGGTGGGAGCCACAGCTTTAAGCACCCACCGCAGCAGGATCCAGGACTGGAGATGGGATTATACCCAGAGACCCCGCCAGCTTGAACCAGAGGGGACATGGTGGGGACAGAATGAAGGAAGGCATCAGACTGCTGGGATTCCACAGCACAGAAACCAGAGCTGCCTGGGCGAGAACCTTTACCACCCTTCAAGATGAGGGAAGAATGCCCCGAAGGTGATTCTGAGGTTGGCAGGGCTGCAGCTCTCACTGCAGTCCCAGGACAAGAGCCTGTTTCTTCCTTGGTTTCGAAGTGTGGGAGCCTCCTTGGTTTCAGGGCCAGGTTGCCCATGGTCCAGTGCTGTGGGGGTGGGGTTGCCAGGCTGAGCCAAGGGGGTGACACCTCTGCCCCAGCATGCCTGGAGGGTGGCGCATCCAGACCAAGAGGGACTCTCTGGAGCCTGAAGAGCTCGTGGAGTTTGCCTTGTGGGGTTTTGGACTTGCTTGGGCCCCACCACCCTTTCCCTGTTGCCTCTTTCTCTCTTTTGGAAAGGGAGCGTCTGTCCAGTGCCTGCCCTACTGTTGTATTTTGGGAACATGTAACTTGTTTGGGTTCCGTGGTTTACGGCTGGAGGGGAGCTCAGCTTCAGGGTGGGCGAATCGCACTCTGAGTCCCACCCAGTCCTGATTCAGGTGATGTTTTGTTGAGACTTGGGACTTCACACCTTAGCGCTGATGCTGGAATAAGACTTCTGGGGCTGTTGGGATGGGATGACTGTATTTGCCATGCAAGAAGGATATGAATTTGGGGGAGGCCAGGGACAGGATGTTCTCAACTGAATGTCTCCGTCCCCCAGAAATCTGTGTTGAAGCCCTAACCCCCAGTGTGGCTGTATTTGGAGATGGGGCCTCTGAGAAAGTGGTTAAAGCAAAATGAGGTAGTGGAGGGGATGCCCTGATCCCATAGGATGAGTGTGTCCTTGTCAGAAGAGACACCAGACAGCTCACCCTTATGGCTGCCCTTGTGTGTGCACGCTCTCTTTCTACCCCCTCCCCATCTGTCCGTTTTTTTTTTTTTTTTTTTGAGATGGAGTCTCGCTCTGTTGCCCAGGCTGGAGTGCAGTGGCGTGATCTTGGCTCACTGCAACCTCCACCTCCCGGGTTCAAGGGATTCTCCTGCCTCAGCCTCCCGAGTAGCTGGGACCACAGATGCGTGTCACCACACCCAACTAATTTTTGTATTTTTAGTAGAGATGGGGTTTCACCACGTTCGCCAGACGGTCTCAATCTCTTGACCTCGTGATCCGCCCTCCTCGGCCTCCCAAAGTGCTGGGATTACAGGCGTGAGCCACCGTGCCCAGCCTCTCTGTGCTAATATTAATAGAAGAGCCCCTGTGGGCACGCGGCAGGATGGCGGTGCCACACACCGGAAGAGGGGACTCACCAGAAGCTGCACTGGTTGACACGTTGGTCATGGACTTAGAGTCTCCAGAACTGGAAGATGACTAATTTCTGTTTTTGAAGCCTTTTGGCCTGTAGTCTTGTGTTTTGGCAGCCTGCGTTGAATGAGACAGTGCCTAGAAAGATGCTCCTTCACCTCTGTATGCATGCATCTGCTCCATCCTTCCTTTCAACAGACAGTAAACATTTACCGTCCACTCTCTTACAGTTGATGTTTGGATCCTGTTTCTCACTGTTTCATCTGTTTAATATTAGACATCTGGTGTATCTTTCATGGACGTTTATCATCACATCAACTAATGGCCTTTATGACATCAATTTTATGTGGTTCACATTTAAACGTAGGTAACAAAAGATGTGTATTGAGAAGAATGAATTCATGTATTTATACCATAAATTCATAAAATTCTTCACTTACTGTTTGCCTTGTGCTCTCTGCAGTAGCCCAGTGCCCTATGTTTATGATCACAAAGAGGCCTGAATGTTTCTCTGAGAGCAGTTATCTCCCTAGTTTCAATGACAGGATAAATGTTAGTGGCGTGATCTTCCCACGTGCTCAGCCCCCCCAGTTCGGTGCCTGAACAGGTGGGAACAGTGCCAGGCAGACAGTGTAAATGACGTCCACGTCTAGAAGTTTCAGTTTGTATTGGGCTGTGATTGTTGCAAGGATGAAAGTAATCTAGTTTTGATATTTTCATCTTGGAATATTCCTTGAGTTTTCTGCTTTGTGAACATTCTAAACACTGTTCTATGTGGAGATAGTTAAGCAGTTAATAAATTCCAGTGATAAATGAGTTTTCTTTAGTCCTAATAGAGGTTATCATAGTTCATTTTTAACTGCATGTATTGTGTATTAACACAGTTTTGTTCTCTTTGTGGAATTGCCAGACTATTCATTATGTAGCGCATAACACTGTCCACTAACACGCACATTTAGTGATGAAACAAGTGAAATGTGTGCTGATGGTGGGCGTGGTGGAGAGGTGAGGAGGGTGAGCATTGATGCTTAGGAAATTCAGCGTGTGCACTGATGGTGTGGCGGAGACGTGAGGAGGGTGAGCATTGATGCTTAGGAAATTCAAAATGTGCACTAATGGCGGGCATGGTGGAGAGGTGAGGAGGGTGAGCATTGATGCTCAGGAAATTCAAAATGTGCGCTGATGGCGGGCGTGGTGGAGTGGTGGAGAGGTGAGGAGGGTGAGCACTGATGCTCAGGAAATTCAAAATGTGCACTGATGGTGGGCGTGGTGGAGAGGTGAGGAGGGTGAGCATTGATGCTCAGGAAATTCAAAGGAGTTAATGTATGGATTGTTTTCCAAATAAAATAAGAAAAACACTAATTTTGTGAGAGGGAAGATTCATGTCCAGTACTTACATTAAAAACACCTAATAGTTTACTTAGAATGTTCACTTAATTTTATTTTCTTCTTTACTACTTTGCTTGTGTTGGGTGAGTGCACTTCTCATATTGATAGCTGCCACCTCAAGATTTGGGGCTGGTGTTGGGGGTTCTGAGTTAAAGATGAACCTCTGTGATGTGCTGTGACTTGAGCTGTCCTGGGAGCACTGCACACACAGTTGTGTTGGGCCCTCCCTAATAAGGAGGAGGCAGTGCAGCCTGTGGACGGCCAGGTCCCTGCAGAAATGGCGTGGGAGGCTCCTTCCAGCACTACTGGATGAAATGAGGCTCCTTAGGTGGAAAGCAGTTTTGTTTTCTGAAGCTTTTGCCGGCCAGTGTTGACTCTGATTTGCTTAGCAGTTCTAATTTTCAATTTTAACACAAACTCTAATCTGTTAAAATCTGTGTTCATCTTGAATCATTATAGCTTTTGGGCAAACGTCTTGTGTTTTAAAATTTGCATCTGTGAGTTTTGCTTGACATCCACAGTGTTGATAAGGAAGCGTTTGGGTGGCGTAGTGGAAACAGACTTAGACCAACAGAATGACTGTCACATGTGAGTTAGGTTACACTGAGTTACTCGTTTAACTTCCTCAGCCTTCTTTTTCTTCTTTGAGGGGTTCACCCCGTGGCTGCTCCTGGCTCTTTGCTGTGCTCCCTCCAGAGCCGTTTTCCCAGCCACGTGCAGTGCTGTCACCCATCACCCCCTGCCTTCAAGGTGACGTACCGAGTACCCCCCTGCTGCAGCCTGTCTGGGGGCCTCTGCCAGCCTTGTGAGCCTCGGGCCCCCCGTCCCGACTGAGCTGCACGTGCCACCCTGAACTTGCTGTCTCTGGGTGTTCCTTTCCTTGTGCCACCCGTCTCAGGAAACGTCCCTGTCACCCAGTGCTTTAGACCAAACACCTTTCCACCGTCTGAACGCCTGTATTGTTCTCTTACTGCCTGTGGAAATCACCCTGTCAGCCACTCCTGCAGCAGAGGGCGCTTCAGTTCTTTCTTCCCACCCTGCTCCAGGCCGCCCTCCCTGCACTTCTCTCATCTCCTGTCCGTCTCCCCCGTTGTTTTCTGGGGCTGCCATAACAAAGTGCCACAGGCAGGGTGACTTCTGAACAACAGATCCGTGTTCTAAACAACAGATCCGTGTTCCCACAGTCCTGGAGGCTGGAAGCCCGAGATGAGGGTGTGAGCAGGGCTGGTTCCTCCTGAGGCGTCTTTCCATGGCTCATAGATGGCGTCTTCTCCTGGATCCTTCATCCCTCTGGGAGTGTCTGTGTCCTCATCTCTTCTTACAAGGATGTCAGTCCTATTGGAATAGGATCCACTCTCCTGGTCTCATTTTACCTTAATTATCTCTTTAAAGCCCCTTTCTCCAAACAGCCCCATTCTGAGGTCCTGGGGTGAGGACTTCGACACAGGAATTTGGGTCCACAGTTCTGCCCATAGCAGCCCCTTCCACTGTTCCCTCCGCAGTTTGTTCACACAGCACACACCGGGCATCACATCCTGCCGACAGCCGTCTGGTGATTTTGCATCACACGGAATAAAACCTGGTGTCCTTTCCAGTCTCCCGGGATTACAGGAGCTGTTCCCGACTTTGCCTCCCGTAGCTGTTCCGCACATGGCGGGAATGTTGTTCCTCAGCCCGGGCGAGCCTTACTTAACCTTTCCTTTCCTCACATCCGACTCACGTGCGACCTCATCAGAGAGTCCCTCCTCAGTAATTCTGTGTGAAATAGCGCCCCCATCCAGCTGCCCCTTGTCCTGTTTTATTTTACTTCATAGAAGTTACTACCACCTTACTCTGTGTCTCCATGTTGATTTGTGTTCCCGTGCTGCTCTGCATCCATGTGATATGTGTTCCCGTGCTGCCCTGGGTCCCTGTGACGTGCTTTCCCTTGCTGCTGTGCGTCCCTGTGACGTGCGTTCCCTTGCTGCTGTGCGTCCATGTGACATGTTTCCGTGCTGCCGTGCGTCCCTGTGACGTGTGTTCCCGTGCTGCTGTGCGTCCCTGTGACGTGGGAACCCTTGCTGTTGTGCGTCCCTGTGACGTGTTCTCGTGCGGCTGTGTGTCCATGTGACGTGTTGCCGTGCTGCTGTGCGTCCCTGCGACGTGCGATCCCGTGCCGCTGTGCGTCCCTGTGACGTGCGTTCCCGTGCCGCTGTGCGTCCCTGTGACGTGCGTTCCCGTGCTGCTGTGCGTCCCTGTGACGTGCATTCCCTAGTAATGTATATGTGCTCATGACGTGCCTGTGTTAGGCCATTCTTGCATTGCTATAAAAAATACTTGAGACAGGGTAATTTATAAAGAAAAGAGGTTTAATTGGCTGATTCTGCAGGCTGTACAGGAAGCGTGGCACCAGCATCTGCTTGGCTTCTGGGGAGGCTTCAGGGAGCTTGGAGCTTTCACTCACAGCAGAAGGCGAAGCGGGAGAAGGCGTCATGTGATGGAAACAGGAGTAAGGCGGGGGCGGGGGGTGCCCCACATCCAAGCAGCCAGATCTCTTGAGAGCTCACCCACTATTGTGAGGTCAGCATCAGGCTATGAGGAATCCTCCCCCATGAGCCAGACACCCCCACCAGGCCCGGCCTCCAACACAGGGGATTCCAGTTCAGCATGAGATTTGGGCTGGGACAAATTTCCAAATTATCAGTTCCAGTACTAGTACTTGTGTATATATGACATACCTCTCCATACTAACGGGTGTGTGTGTGTGTGGTCTCTCTCTTTTGCTAGAACAGAAGTTCTCTGAGGGCAGGGGCTTTACCAGGGGTCCTCACTCCAGAGTTCCTACCTGCTAGATTGAGCGTAGTTTTGCATGTGTGCATGTCAGAAGCCGTCTGTCCTCTTCTGCATTGTGTAAGCAGCACCTGGGCTGGGGGTGGGGACTGGCACTCTGTCACCCCCTGATAAATATTTGTTGGATGAATATACAGATTTTCTTACAGAGCTGGCTGTAATGTGTTTGTTTTAGCCTTGGCCTTTGACAGGGGGCTTGATGTTACAAAGGAAAATAGACTCTTATGACTATAGCAATAGAATTCCAAGTATATTTTAAATAGGCTCTTGAGAATGAAAATGCCTTTTTGTAATGTGATAAATTACTGACTTTCATTTGTATTTGGTTAGTTTTATATTGCATTTCTACTAGTAACTGATGAAAGCTTAAATGTTGAAAATCATTTTATTTGCCATTCTGTTGATGCGTGGAAATAAATGGTAGTTCGGTTGACAATGTTGTGGATTCCACTTTTTTTTCTGTACGAGATGGTCGTAGAGTTGATGGGTGTTCACGGGCAGCAGTTATGGGTCAGAGGAGGACATACTCATCACTGTGGCCAGCACCAGGCTCCTAGTGGTGACCATCATGATGGATATGTCCTCAAGAGATTAATGAGAACCATCTATTTTGTAGCTATGTCAGAAGAAACTCAAGATTTCCAGGAAATGTCTTTCTTTTCTGGCCTTCCCTTTGGCAGCAGATATCTGGGGAAGATGAAGTAGAGTGCTCTGACAAGGACGAGCCCGACCTCGATGGGGATGTGTCCAGCGACTGCCCCACCATCCGCGTCCCACTGACATCCCTCAAGAGCCACCAGGGCGTGGTCATCGCCTCCGACTGGCTGGTTGGGGGGAAGCAGGCTGTGACTGCCTCCTGGGACCGGACGGCAAACCTGTACGACGTGGAGACGTCCGAGCTCGTTCACTCTCTGACAGGTGCCTGGGTTCTCTGAGTCCGCCGCCTCCTGGCTGTGCATGTTAGTTTATGTCCATGGGTTATGTCTGACCTTGCCACTTACTTCTTGACCAGAATGAGTCTCTGTGTTCTTGGCTCTTCTGTGGTAATTTTTGGAGATTCTTTCTATTAATAATAGAACTATTGGTAGCTAAATTTATTTTGTCTTCAGGGGTTTTAAATTGTAGCATGTAGTATCTAGATATTGGACATATGGTAGTTGTATTAGTTTTCCATTGCTCTGTAACAAATTTCCACAATCTTAGTGTCTTAAAACGACAGGAATTGACGGCCTCATGGTTTCCCAGGTCAGTAATTCTGGGCCCGTGGTAGCTGCTCTTCTCCCTGGGCCCTCAAAGACCTAAGTGAGGGTGCTGCCTGGTCAGGACCTCCCCAAGGCTGCGGTCCTCTTCCAAGCCTGCTGGTCATTGGAGGAGCTCCTTCTTGCGTCTGGAGTTTGAGGCCCTGTCTTCTTGCCAGCTGCCAGCCGGGGCTCCTCTGGGCGTGCAGAGGCTGTGTCTGGCCCTGGGGCCCCTGCACAGGGCTTGCCTTTCCCACACAGCAGCCGCTTTCCTCTGCAGCTGGAGCTCCCCTGCTGCTCTGAACTCTCCAACTTCTGGGACCCTTTTTAAGGGCTAGGCCAGACCACCCAGGACAATATTCCCTTTGATGAAGTCAAAGTCAACTCATTTAGGGACCTTAATTACATCTGCAAAATCCTTTTTGCCTTATAATGTATCATAATTACCAGAAAGATAATCTCATCCTATTTACAGGCTCTGCCCTAACTGAAGGGAAGGGTGTTAGGCATGTACGGGGTGGGGGTGGCTTGGGGCCATCTTGGGATGCTGCCTGCTGAAGTTGCTTCTGCGAATCTATCTCTAAGTGCATTTCCTGCATGAGCGTTAAAGATTGTATTTGACTGAGGACCCATAGCGTTGTATCATTAGAAGGTATTCTAAGCAAAGAATCAAGATTTAAGTGGTTCTCACATTCAACCTGTTAATTTGCCTGACCTTCTAACTGGTAGGGTCAGAAAATGGGTTATGCACCTGTTTGGTTTTCTGTTCCTTTGACATGGACGGCTGAAAGGACTTCAGCTTCTGAGGGAAAACCTGCCCCACTGTGACCCACATGCTGCTGAGTGATTCCATTAGGTCAGGTTCACAGTCTCAGAGAGACGGCTTCTTGGGTTCTTGTGCTGTTGAAAAGCGTCTCTCTCAGCGTGCTCCTCAGGTGATGACCTTGTGTTTTGCCATCTTGGTTACAGGGCACGACCAGGAGTTGACGCACTGCTGCACACACCCCACCCAGCGGCTCGTGGTGACCTCCTCCCGTGACACGACTTTCCGCCTCTGGGATTTCAGGGACCCCTCCATCCACTCGGTGAATGTTTTCCAGGGACACACGGAGTGAGTTGCGGTAGTTTAGACATCTGTCCTTAGTCATGAAAAAGTTCTGTGGGTTGACATGAAAACTTAATTCTAGCCTTAATTTTCAGTATTTCCGACTCTACTATCTTTCAAAAAAATAACTACCTTTCAAATTCTGCTATTCTTTTTCTAAACATTTAGCTCCATTTTGGCTATTTCAAAGGATGTAGGAGATTAAGAGAAGGCACCCTCCGAAGTTCTCTCAAGAAGTTTAATGCAGACAGAATGGGGGAGTGGGTGGAGAGGGTTAGAGAAGAGCAGGGCTGCCAGAGCCTGTAGCTGAGCACAGGGGCCGGCCACGCCACCATAGGAGCCGCGGGAGCTGTTACTCCTACCCACGGGGTGTCTCCTGGATCTTTTCCATCTAGTTTTTGTTATTACACGTGTCTGCGTGGTATATTCTGGGAGAAGGTATACACATAGACGCGCAAACACAGACATAGACCCTCAATCCAGTGTGTCCCTCTCTGCTTGGGTTTCTCTCCGGCAACTCAAGTGTAAGGTCTTTTTTTTCTGAGACGGAGTCTCGCTCTGTCGCCCAGGCTGGAGTGCAGTGGCGCTATCTCGGCTCACTGCAAGCTCCGCCTCCCGGGTTCACGCCATTCTCCTGCCTCAGCCTCCCGAGTAGCTGGGACTAGAGGCACCTGCCACCACGCCTGGCTAGTTTTTTGTATTTTTAGTAGAGATGGGGTTTCACCGTGATAGCCAGGATGGTCTCGATCTCCTGACGTCGTGATCCGCCTGTCTCGGCCTCCCAAAGTGCTGGGATTACAGGCGTGAGCCACCGCGCCCAGCCGTGTAAGGTCTTAACAGAACTCTTCAGTTCTTTCCGTGACCGTCTCCTTCCCCCAGTCTGGCCCTGCTCAGTCAATGATGAGACCGTCTGCCCAGTCACGGGGGCTGTCTACCTAGAGTGTTCCCTGGTTCTTCTCTTTTAATCTCTGTTCCCCGTTCCCCCATCATGCCCCACTGTGGTCCACTGGCAAGTCTCCTGCCAGCCATGCCTGTGGGATCTTCCCGGCCGCTCCTCGCTCCTCCATGCTCCCCCTACCTCCCACCAGTGCTGCTCTCCACCCCGACGTCTGGATAAGCAGTGTGCATTGAAAGGTTTATAAATGAACTCCAAATATGAAAATCTGTTTTATATGTTTAACGTTAGTTACTAAGTTTTAGATTTAATGTTCAAAATGTTAGTAAGATGTTGGAAAGGAAAATAGGACTTTTTGTTTGTTTGTTTGTTTGTTAATAGACGGAGTCTCTTTCTGTCGCCCGGGCTGGAGTGCAGTGGTATGATCTCGGCTCACTGCAGCCTCTGCCTCCCGGGTTCAAGCGATTCTCCTGCCTCAGCCTCCCTAGTAGCTGGGATTACAGGCGCCCACCACCATGCCTGGTTAATTTTTGTATTTTTAGTAGAGGTGGGGTTTCACCATGTTGGTTGGGCTGGTCTTGAACTCCTAACCTCAGGTGATCCGCCTGCCTCAGCCTACCAAAGTGCTGGGATTATAGGTGTGAGCCATCGCGTCTGGCCAGGACAACGTTTTTAAAAAGAAGCTTGAGATTGGAAAGCTAATTCCTTGACTCTGAGGCTGGAACGGGAGCAGGCAGCAGTCACGACCATGCGTAGAGATCTTTATGGCAGCCTGGGTCTGTTCTGGGGGCATCACACGCATTAAACTGCTCCGTCCTGACATCAGGTCAGCGTTTATTCTGCCAGCTCCGTCAGCGATAGCCATAGTAATACAGACCTCCCGGTGGTCAGTGGCTGAACGCAGCACTGTGTTGTTGCTGCATCAGGGTGCAGCAGGCGCTGAGCTGGGCCCCCATGAGCTCCGCCACATGGGCCTGACCCCGCTGCAGGCCAGCTCATTGGTGAGGAAGATGCTGCAGCTCGGGGAGCGCTGCTTCCCATGCATGTTAGCTTGGATGTGGTGCTCCCCGACGTCCACCAGATGCAGAGGGGCCCCACAGCAAAGCCCTGGCTGGACCTGGGCCCACCACCTGGCACCACTGTGTAGGGCGGGGCAGAGGGGCCCGCATGACTGCCCTGCTGTTTCTCATGAGAATTCATTGGAAGGGCAGTCGGAGGCCTAGAGGACGGGAGGAGCAAGATGGTCTCACTCCTGCGCCTGCAGTGCTTTCCTAAGCTTTTTGCTTAGAAAAGTTTCAAGCCTACATAAAAACCAACAGAGTAGTACAGTGTACCCACAAACCCTTCACCTAGGTTCGCCTGTTGTATTGCAGCACTGCTGTCTCTTTACACATGTGTACACACCTCTCTCTGAAACACACGCCCACTAACCCTTCACCTAGGTTCACCTGTTGTATTGCAGCACCGCTGTCTCTTTACACATGTGTACACACCTCTCTCTGAAACACACGCCCACTAACCCTTCACCTAGGTTCACCTGTTGTATTGCGGCACTGCTGTCTCTCTTTACACATGTGTACACACCACTGTCTGTAACACACAACACGCACTACCCTGTCACCTAGGTTCGCCTGTTGTATTGCAGCACTGCTGTCTCTCTTTACACATGTGTACACGCCTCTCTCTGAAACACACGCCCACTTCCCCTTCACCTAGGTTTGCCTGTTGTTGTATTGCAGCACTGCTGTCTCTATTTACACATGTGTACACACCTGTCTGTAACAGACACGCCCACTTATCCTTCACCTAGGTTCACCTGTTGTTGTATTGCAGCACTGCTGTCTCTGTAGATGTGTACACACCTCTGTCTATAACACACACTTGTATATTTTCTTTGGCTGAGCCCTTTGAAAGGAAAACTCCAGCATGCATTTTCTAAGAATAAGGATGTTCTCCTAATACAGTACCATTGTTCAAATAAGAAAATTAGTAAAAATTCTATGGCATCCTTTATCTGGTCCACATTTAAATTTACTCAGTTCTCCCCAAAATGTCTTTGATACTTTTTTTAGAGCTAGGATTTAATCAGGATTCTCTCATCACATTTAGATATTATGTCCTTTGGCTTCTTTTAATCTAGAATGGTCCTTCCCCCATTTTTTGTTACTTTTTAGGATATTGAGTTTTTTGGTGAAGAATCCAAGCCTGCTCTTTTGCAGAACGCCCCTCATTCTGCATTTTTCTTATGACTTCCTTTAAGTGCCCCTCTGCTGTGCTATTGGTGTGCTGAAGCGCTCCTGCAGTTAAGATGGCGTCTGCAGGTCTGCCTGCCAGAGGTGCTCTCCTGTTTCAAATAGCGAAGCGACACTATTCTATGGATGTTAATTCCCCAGTGACCTTTCCTCGGTCCAGGGCTTCAGCTCATTGTTACGCTGAGTCCTGCAGAAGGGGATCTTTGTACTTCTGTCTACACTGGTTAGTTGGCACTGTGTTTTTTGAGTATTAGCGAGCATAGACACCTGCACTTTGTTGGTGTTGGTGGTTGTGATCCCTGTGGTTGCTTTGGTTTTGGCTTCTGTGATGCCCCCCCCCCCCGTGGAACCTGCAGGGCCCTGAGTGCCACCATCCTGGCACAGCTCCCTGCCCCAGGCTGGGAAGACCCAGCAGCTCTCACTGCATTGACTCTGGTCATCTGTATGGAGCACAAAAATCTGTCAGAGCTTTGAGAATTGGGTGAAGAGGGTAGTTTTGTGTCTAGAGAGCAGGGCAGCTTCCTATGTGCTTCTGATATGGGGGTTGCAGGGATAGGCCAGTGTGCCCTGCTGTGCCTGTCCCCTTTGAGGGCAGGATGGAAAGGCCGAAGAATTCTGTCCAGAGGAGGACGCAGTGGAGCCAGGGCTTGGTGAGTTGCTGGTTTGTGCCAGGCACTGTTGGAGCCCCTGGCATCACCCCAGTTCAGAGAGAGAAACTGAGGCATGAGGAGGCCAGGTGGTTTGCTGAGGGTTTGGCTCTAGGGGGTCATTCCAGAGCAGTCCCTCCTGGTGCCTTCAAGGTGCCTCTTGTGTTATTTAAGACCCTTCTAGTCCTGTATTGTCTCTGTTCAGTTGCCATATTTAACTGGAAGATTTTATTTTTGTTTTGTGTAAAAAGAAAAGTTTTTGTATTTATATCACCAGAGTTGATTGCAAGTGCATGTTTTCGCTTCTAAGGCTGTTGCAACCGTGTGGTCTTGGCCATTTGACTGTGAAGTGAAGTCAGTGCTGGTGGCATCTTTAAAATATCTGCTTAGGCTGGGCGCGGTGGCTCACGCCTGTAATCCCAGCACTTTGGGGATCACCTGAGGCTGGGAGTTTGAGACCAGCTTGACCAACATGGAGAAACTCTGTCTTTACTAAAAATACAAAATTAGCCAGGTGTGGTGGCGCACGCCTGTAATCCCAGCTACTTGGGAGGCTGAGGCAGGAGAATCGCTTGAACTTGGGAGGTGGAGGTTGCGGTGAGCCGAGATCACGCCGTTGCACTCCAGCCTGGGCAATGAGCGAAACTCCAAACTCCGTCTCAGAAAAAAAAAAATTCTGGTTAATTTGTGGTACATTTTTGCAGCTAGTGGATACATGAAACAATGGTAGTTTTTTAGAGAGCTGTACTTATGAAGAATGTAGTAAGTGTTATGAAAAAGTTCTTACTAATGTGGACCTATGAATACAGTTTCCTAGGGTTTATGTCTTCCTATTGGAATCAGGTGTGGGGGTAGAGTAAGGTGGAGTGTGTAATTCCCGTGTGCCCTTTCTCCCACATGGGTCTTCCAGGCTGTAGGCTGTGCTTCCATTCACCTGAACCACGGGGGTGAGGTGAACGTGGACCAGACCTGCCCGGGCCATGCTTACTCAGATCGTTTACGCTTTCTTTTTTCTTACTCAAATTATCATGAACTAGCGTATCTTGTTGATGTGTACATCCAAAAATACGTTTTGAAAAGATCTCTCTTTGGCGCTAATTTTGTTGCTGTGTCGGGGCGAGTCCGCTGGGCTGTTGGACATTGAGCTTCCCCTCACCGGCCTGGCGGTTTCTCAGCTGTGCGCATGCAGGATGAGGGCTTGGTCAGCAGGTGGAGCCGTGGACGCCTTTATTGAACACAAACTCTTCCTTCCTGACATCAGATCAGCTGTAAACCTTTAGACGTGCCTCATAATGAGAAAAGCAGGAAATGAGTCATTTTACAAAAATGTTTCATCTGAGGTGTCTTCTTAGTAACACTTGCCTTTGTCTCCGGCATGGGTTTTGTAGGTTCGAGCCAATACGACAAATAAAACCTACAGAGTGCGTGATCCTTACAAATGTGTAGAGCTGTGCATCCGCGCCACAGCACACCAGGGTGAGGGCCTCGCAGTGCGGTTTAGGTCCTGAGATGTGCGTCCGCGCCCCAGCACACCTGGGTGAGGTCCGGGGTGCGGGTTTAGTTCCTGAGAGGAATGGCCAGGTTGTGTGTGTGTGTTCCGTTTGGTCACTTGTCTGGGACGTTCTGAACATGACTTGTAAGAGCACACCCTGGGTCCCCTGCCTTCCCTGCCACCATGTCATTCTGAGGGACCCTCTGCGCCGGGGGCTTCTCTGCAGTGGCCACGGCATCGCCAAGGACATCCGTGAGCCTCCGATGGGTGTCCAGCGTGTTAGCGCCCAGACCCACAGGGCCTGGCACCCTGATAGGTGGGAATGTTGGCCCAGGGCCGGGCCTGAGGCCTGCAGGACTGCCTGCTCATCCGGGAAGTAGCTCTGCCGGTTTTACAGGGTGATCCTGAGTTCTTTTCACTAGTTCTTTTCCTGAGCATTGAAAGCAAAAGTCAGACATGTGTTCTTAGGAAGTTTGCTGTTCTTGTTGATGTAGGCTGGAAAGTTATATGCATGGTGTTTTTAGTGATACCCCTTAAACAGAGGCAGTATTTCTTCAACATGTGTGACTAAAAATACCCTTTCTCACATAATTTATATTAACATGATGTGGAATGTGCTTTTCAAAGTTTTATCTTAGGGCGTATTTTCACTTGTAGGAACTAAGCGTAAATTCTTTAGTATAGTATGTTGGAATCTAATGTCTTTTATAATGTAAATAATTAACTGTCTAGTTAAGGTGAATTGCTGTATATTGGGTTTTCTTAAGGCAAGAAGTAGCTCTAAAGGCTTAAGGTAACTGGCCCAGTTTTGTGATCCAGTTTCCAGGAGAGATTTTTCCCCACTTTCTTTTTTTTCTTACTGTAATCCCCATACTTTTACTTGCATTCTGTGCCTTTTTGAAAGACTGGAGTTTGAGTTCCAATGCTTCACTGTAAGAAAGAAAAGTGTAGCGAAATGGGTCCCCTGAAACGTGTGGTCATTACCTTTGCTGGATGGGGATGGAGCTCCGTGCTGTGAGCTGCTGAAGGCTTTGATCCTACGTGTTTAGAAGGACCAGTCACCTTTTCCTTTTGATGTGTCTTATTTCTTTCCACTCTGTGTTGTGGCATCTCTGTATTATAGCAGGAATTTTACCATGATAGTACTTAGTTGGCGTAACTGTGTGGCTGTTTTTATTTGACTGTTTGTTAGTGACCCAGCGTGTACTGATTTATATGAAAAGCAATTTTAGATACTTCATATAGCAGAAATGTGAAGTTGTAGTATGTGTTGTTATTAGAAATAATAAAAAGGCTTAATTTGAAAATTTCAGTGTGTCACAGGAATTCAGCTGTTGGTGGCTATTTCTCTCTCTCTCTTTTTTTTTTTTGTGAGACGGAGTCTCGCTCTGTTGCCCAGGCTGGAGTGCAGTGGTGCAATCTCGGCTCACTGCAACCTCCACCTCCTGGGTTCAAGCGATTCCCCTGCCTCAGCCTCCCAAGTAGCTGGGACTGCAGGCACGTGCCTTGGTGGCTATTTCTTACACCTTGTTTGATTGCACTCCGTAGATTGATGTTTTTTGCAAATGAAGGTCTGTGGAGCCCAGCCCTGGCTGAGCAGGTCTGTTGGTGCCAGTTTTCCAACAGCACGTGCTCACTTCCTGCCTCTCTCTCACATTTTGGTCATTCTCACAATACTTCTTACTTTTTCATTGTGATTATATGAGGGTGGTCAGTGACTTTTGCTGTAACTGTTATAATTGGTTTTGAGGCCCTGGGAACCTTGCCCATAGAAGACAGTGAACTTAGTCGATAAATCGTGTGTGTTCCGACTGCCCCACTAACTGGCCGTTCCTTCGTCTCTCACCTTCTCCTAATGCCTCTGACTTCATGAGTGAGACACAACACTGTTGAAATTAGGCCAATTAACATCCCTATAGCAGCCTCTCAGTGTTGAAATGAAGAGTTGCGTGTCCCTCACTTGAAAGCTGGAAATGACGAAGCTTAGTGAGGAAGATGTGTCGAAGGCAGAGAGGCTGAAAGCTGGGCATCCTGCACTGGACAGCCAGGTTCTGAATGCAAAGGAAAAGTTCTGGAAGGAAAGTAAAACTGCTACTCCAGTGAACACACGAATGATAAGAACACAATCCTAATGCTGATATGAAGGAACTTTGAGTGGTCTGCATTGATTAAACCAGCCACAACATTCCCTTTAGCCAAAGCCTAATCCAGAGCAGGGCCCTGACTCTTCAATTCTGTGAGGGCTTAGAAAGGTGAGGGAGCTGCGGAAGAAAAGCTGGAAGCTGGCAGAGGTTGGTTTATGAGGTTTAAGGAAGGAAGCCGTCTCCATAACATGAGAGTGCAAGGTGAAGCAGCAAGTGCTGATGGAGAAGCTGCAGCAAGTTCTCCAGAAGATCCAGCTGGGATCATCGATGAAGATGACTATGTTTAATAACAGATTTTCAGTGTAGACAAAACAGCCTTCTGTTAAAGAAGATGCCACGTAGAACTTTCCTAGCTAGAGAAGAGAAGTCACTGCCTGGCTTCGAAGGACAGACTGATGCTCTTGTGAGGGGCTAGTACAGCTGGTGACTTACAGTTGAAGCCAGTGCTCATTTACCATTCTGAAAATCCTAGGGCCCTTAAGAATTATGTGAAACCTACTCTGCCTGTGCTCTATAAATGGATCACCAAAGGCTGGATGAGAGCACATCTGTTTACACCATGGTTTCTGAATATTTTGAGCCTATTGTTGAGGCTACTGCTCAGGAAAAAACTTTTTTTTCAAAATTGTCCTGCTTATTGACAGTGCACCTAAGGGCTCTGACGGAGATGTACAAGGAGATGAATGGTGTTTTCATGCCTGGTAACACAACCCCCATTCTGCAGCCCATGGTTCAAGGAGTCATTTTGACTTTTGAGTCTTATTATTTAAAAAATACACTTTGTAAGGCTATAGCTGCCATAGATAGTGATTCCTCTGATGGACCTTGGCAACGTCAATTGAGCACCTTCTGGAAAGGATTTATCATTCTGGTCGCCATTCAGAACACTTGTGATTCATGGGAGAAGGTCAAAATGTCACAGGAATTTGAGAGACGTTGAGGGGTTCAAGGCTTCAATGGAGAAAGTCACTGCAGGTGTGGTGGAAACAGGAAGATAACTAGGATTAGAAGTGGATCCTGAAGATGGGACTGAATTGCTACAATCTCACAATAAATTTGAATGGACGAGGAACTGCTTCTTATGGATGAGCAAAGAAAGTGGTTTCTTGAGTGGGAAGGTACTCTTGGTGAAGATGCTGTGAACATTGTTTAAATGACAGCAAAGGATTTTGAATATTCCATAAACTTCAGTGGTAAAGCAGTGGTAGGGTTTGAGAGGACTGACTCCAGTTTTGAGGTTCAATTGTGGGTAAAATGCCTTTTTTTTTTTTTTTTTTTTTTTAAGATGGGAGTCTTGCCCTGTTGCCTAGGCTATAGTGCAGTGGTGCTATCTTGGCTCACTGCAACCTCCGCCTCCCAGGTTCAAACAATTCTTCTGCCTCAGCCTCCCGAGTAGCTGGGATTACAGGCACCTGCCACCATGCCTGGCTAATTTTTACATTTTTAGTAGAGACAGGGTTTCACCACATCGGCCAAGCTGGTCTCAAACTGCTAACCTCAAATGATCCACCTGCCTTGGCCTCCCAAAGTGCTGGGATTACAGGCGTGAGCCACCATGCCTGGCCCCAGTAAAATGCTTTTAAACAGCATCACATGCGGTAGAGAAATCTTTTGTAAAAGGAGAAATCAATTGCTATAGCAGACTCCATTGCTGTCCTATTTTAAGAAATTGCCCCAGCCTTCAGCAGCCACCACCCTTATCAGTCAGCAGCCATCAGCATCGAGGCAGGACCCTCCACCAGCAAAAAGATTATGACTTACCAAAGGCTCAGATGACTGTTAGTGTTTTTTAGTGGTAAAATTTATCTTACTTAAGAAATGCACATTGCGTTTTTAGAGGTAATGCGGTTGCTCACTTAACAGACTACAGGATGGTGTGGCTATGGCTTCTGTATGCACCGGAAAACCAGACAGCTCTTGTGATCCGCCTTACTGCGATCTTCACCTCACAGCGTGTTCTGGAATGAACGGAACCCGCAGAAGCTCCGAGATTGCCTGTGTTTGTCCTAACCACCAGGAGCTGCAGCTGGAAGTCAGTGCTTTTCACCTGAACTAAGTTCTTTTCTGTTCGTGTGTTTTTCACCCGGCAGTGTAATTCCATAAGTCTGGCCCTCTCCTGGCTGCTGCATTCCCTTGCACACACCCAGGGGGCTGAACCCACACGCAGGCCATTCCAGCGTGGGCCCTCACTGTGCAGACCGTGGGTGAATAGACGTGCCTGCAAGAGGCTTTTGCTGTCATGACATTTGCCTGTTTAGATCTCAGCCTCAGCCCTCAGACCTCCCTCAGCACACCCCAATCCCGTAGAGTTTTCCTCCCCTCCCCATCTCCCTTTTTTGTTTTTTTTTTTTTGTTGTTGTTATTTTGGTTGCTATAAAAAGGAGCTGACAGGCGAGGTGTCACTGGCCATTAAGCCTCCTCTGTGGGTGGCAGGTGGCTCTGCCTTGTGCCGGGCTGGCAGTGTTTGCAATGCGGATAAACTTTAGCATTGAAAAAAACAGGAGATCATCTCAACATGGATGCAATATTTGAGGATGCAAAGTTTTTTGTTTTCTTCCTTTTTAATTCTTTGCAAACGATTTTAACTTTATTCCCAAAATGTGGTCTTTGGTGCTTTCTTCTAAAGAAAACAAAACACACATCTAACCAAACAAAATTTTAAAAGATCAGTTGAGAAATTATAATGATCACTTTGAAGTGATGACATGTTTGTGTGCTTTTATTTCCAAACACCTGGGGGAGAGATTTGGTACTAAACACTGAGTTCTAGATCATGTGCTCAGAAAGGTAAACACAGTTTTGCAGCTTGTGTCATGGTGTTAACAGTTTTCCTTATGCTTTTAAAGGGAAAAGATGTTTGGAAATCGACATTTTTAACTGGATGATGGGCAGTTTTAATTGCACCTGAACTTTGTGCTTGGTCACAGTCAGCATGCAGGTGTCAGCTTGGGTGTGGGCCTCTGGGTGCTGTCCGGCCAGCTGGCCGCCTGGGAGGTGCGTGTTGGAAAGGACGCATGTGGTCTCTAAATCAGTTTGCTTTCCACTTTCAGATCTGCTTTCTTTTTGGTGATGGCTTTTGAGTCCTTGTCTGTGGGGAAGGTGGAGAGCCAGCCATCTACCAGGTGGTGACTTTGCAGACAGCAGGGCCCTGTGGAAGGGCCTCTGGGGCGGAAGTGACATGGAGATGAGGACGGCCTGCAGGCTGTGGGGCCTTGGAAGCACACCTGTGTCTCCTCTCAGTGTTACATCCCCTACCCATATGCCTGAAAGCTTGGTGGTTGTCTTTTTAATTAGATTACATTAGAGTACTTTAACAAAATGTTGTATGTATTCATGGGGTGTGAGTGCAGTTTTGCTACCTTGATGTACTCCACTCAGGTGAGGCCAGGGCCTTCAGCATACCCCTCATTGGAGTGATGCTCGTTGCACGCACCAGGCAACCTCCCGTCATCCACCCCGCCCCAGGTCTCCACTCTGTCCATCAGTCTTGTATCCACCCCACCCTGGGTTGTCTCTGCCCTGTCCATCAGTCCTCCCGTCATCCCCCCTGCCCTGGGTCATCTCTGCCCTGTCCATCACCCACCCCGCCCCGGGTCTCTGCCATGTCTCTCAGTCCTCCCGTCACCCACCCCTCCCCGGGTCTCTGTTCTGTCTCTCAGTCCTCCCGTCACCCACCTCACCCTGGGTCTCCACCCTGTCTGTCAGTCCTCCGCTGTCCCTGTGTGCACGTAGTTTTGCTCCCACTTGCCAAGGAGGACACACGCTCTTTGTCTTTCAGTGTTTGCATTGTTTCACTTAAGATAATGGCCCCCAGTTCTATCCATGTTGCTGCATAAATTAATAAAGGTGATTTTATTTTTAGGAAGTGTATAGATTTATATAAATACAACTCTTAATAATAACTGGCTGATATCCAAGGTTATCATAAAACCCAGGCTAGGGTCACTAAGGACTCCATCTGTCGCCCGTGACAGCTTTTCGGAGCTTTGCTGGTTGGCCTGAGTATGGTGCAGATTCCAGAGAACTGTAGTGGGCAGCAGTTGGCGGGAACAGAACCTCACTGCAGCAGTCATGTTCAGGGGTGGTCTTGGGTGTTTCCTTTGTATTAGTTAGTGAA
This sequence comes from Homo sapiens, assembly GCF_000001405.40. Taxonomy (NCBI): domain Eukaryota; kingdom Metazoa; phylum Chordata; class Mammalia; order Primates; family Hominidae; genus Homo; species Homo sapiens. The sequence continues at coordinate 1,116,809 of NC_000010.11, forward strand.
TGTTTTGTCTTGTGACCACAGAAACTGCCAAGGAGACGTTAGCAGATACAGTGTGCAGCTGGGCACACCTAGGCCCAGTGGTTCTTTCTGTGCAAAGGAGAATCCTTGTCTCTTACCAGCAGAGCAGCGCTGTCCGTGCCACCACCTGCAGAGCTGCCGTTCCATCCTCCTCTCTCAGTGTCCTGTGATATGAACCTAACAGTAACTTCCTGAGCCAGTCCCTTGTTGATGCATGTTTTTAAATTTTTATTGGTTTATTTTTTTGAGACAGGGCGTCACCCTCTCGCCTAGGCTGGACTGCAGTGGCATGATCACGGCTCACTGCAATCTCGACTTCCTGGGCTCAAGTGATCCTCCCACCTCACCCTCCTGAGTAGCAGGGACTACAGGGCTGTGCCACCACTCCCTGCTAATGTTTGTATTTTTTGTAGAGATGGAGTCTCACCATGTTGCTTAGGCTGCTCTCGAAATCTTGGCCGCAAGTGATCCTCTTGCCTCAGCCTCCAAAGTGCTGGGATTACAGGCATGACCCACTGAGCCTGGCTGCCTATTGATGCATTTTAAAGTCGCTTCCAAGTTAGAATATTGTTTTTAAAAGTGAGAGGAGATTTAGTGTATCTCTGTTTTACCCTTTTAAAGTTCCTCATTTAAGAAGGGCTACTCAGGAACTCATAAATAAGGACTTAAGGAAATGATTGCGTTTGAATCGCTCTACTGGACAGCTTTGTTTCGGCCTGTCAGATTCTGTCACTTTTCTTTGAGATGACTGTAAGACAGCCATCAGGCTATTGACACATACTCAAAACTTCCTAACTGTGAGGTACTTCAGGACAGACTCCGGAGACAGGTGGGGGTGTCTGAGTCCACAAGTCAGCAGAAACCAGCATGATACGCAGAGCGGGCAGCATGGGGAGGGGTGGCTGCCTAAAGCGTCAGCTGACGTTTGGAAAAGATGGTGGTGACCATGCTGTGTGCATGGCCACTGCAGAGCCAGGGCCCGGGTGGCATGTGAGGGTCGCCTGGCAGCCTCTTATCAGCATCTGCGCTGCGTGCACTCAGCCACCCTCAGCCAGCTCTGTTTGAAGTCCCTGCACGCATCTGAGCCGCGTGCACTCAGCCACCCTCAACCAGCTCTGTTTGAAGTCCCTGCACACATCTGAGCCGCGTGCACTCAGCCACCCTCAGCCAGCCCTACTTGAAGTCCCTGCACACATCTGAGCCGTGTGCACTCAGCCACCCTCAGCCAGCTCTGTTTGAAGTCCCTGCACGCATCTGAGCCAGGTGCACTCAGCCACCCTCAGCCAGCTGTTTGAAGTCCATGCACACATCTGAGCCGCGTGCACTCAGCCACCCTCAGCCAGCCCTACTTGAAGTCCCTGCACACATCTGAGCCGTGTGCACTCAGCCACCCTCAGCCAGCTCTGTTTGAAGTCCCTGCACGCATCTGAGCCAGGTGCACTCAGCCACCCTCAGCCAGCTGTTTGAAGTCCATGCACACATCTGAGCCGCGTGCACTCAGCCACCCTCAGCCAGCCCTACTTGAAGTCCCTGCACACATCTGAGCCACGTGCACTCAGCCACCCTCAGCCAGCTCTGTTTGAAGTCCCTGCACACATCTGAGCTGCGTGCACTCAGCCACCCTCAGCCAGCTCTGTTTGAAGTCCCTGCACACATCTGAGCTGCGTGCACTCAGCCACCCTCAGCCAGCTCTGGTTGAAGTCCCTGCACACATCTGAGCTGCGTGCACTCAGCCACCCTCAGCCAGCTCTGCATGAAGTCCCTGCAGGCATCTGAGCTGCAGGGTTTCTGGTGCTCAGCAGCAGAGCAGAGAAACACTTCATTTAACACCATCTTTGGAGAGCACGATGTTCCACAGAAGCGATTTCTCCAATGATCCCTCAAGAACCAACACTTTGTAAAAAAAAAGACTATTTCGTGTGTGTGTGTAAGAGAGGGACATACCAGTGCTTTAGGAGTGTGCACGCACTGCCACGCTGTCTCCCTGCCCTGATGGCCCCGCAGCCTGGGCGTTACTGTTTGTCTCTGTTGAGTGTTTTGTTTCAGCTTCTCTGGAAGTCAGCTGTTGCTTTTTGCCATTTTTGTGCTGGTTTCTAATGCTGTTTCTCACTCAATCCCACTGATTTCTCTTACTTACTGCTCCTGAACATTCTAAAACTGATAACGTAGAAATGAAAATGAACCCTGAATAAAAGACTAAGGGCCATTCCTATGAAGAAAAAACATGAGTGCATCGGCGTTAGGAATTTCTTCTGTATACCAGAAGGCCGTGCTGCAAAACAAGTCAAGAGCATATATTTGGAAAATACGTCTGTACAGGCTCCTGCAGATGCAGTGGTTGTGAGAAACGGTCTCTGTCCTTGGTAGCCTTGACGTTCTAGGATGATAAGATCAGTACACGAGACAGAGCAGAGCAAGAGAACACAGAGCTGAGTGCTGTTACTGAGTCCAGGCACCACAGGTCAGTGTTTCTGTAATGGGTCTTCTTTCTTTGTGTCATAGCCAAGGTGAAGCTCTTCAGCTAGCAGAAGAGTGTTCTCACTGTGCCCCCATAGCTCATGGATCTCATCTTTAGAATCTTATTTTTGGCCGGATGAGGTGGTCAGGTTATACTGAACTAAATGTTCTCTTTGAATAGTCTGTGGAAAGGTTCTTACTAATTCAGTTAGTCAAATCTTAGGGAGGCTTTAGCATAGTCTGAAGTCACTTTAGAAGCCCTTCTCTGTGGGCCATGGTAAACACAGATGTTGCAGAGGCTTCTTGTAGCTTTGCTGTGGTGCCTGTTGGCAGCACTTCCAGGCCTTAGGGTGCTGTTGTGCGCCTAACACTGCTGACCTTATAATATTATAAGTGGCCAGTCACTTGCCCCCTTCGCTGGGAGGAGGGAGGCGTCACTGGAGTGACTTTACCTCCTCCTCTTCTGCACACTGTCTGACGAGGAGCGGGGCCTGCACACAGCCAGTGCTTAATAAATATTTGTTGCATGAACAGTTCTGTAGTGCAGCCCTTATCAGTGACTTAGTTGGGAAATCTCTCATTATTTCTGCCGAGAGGGGTTTGGAGAGTAGCATGGCCCCATGAGACTACTGAGGTAGAACTATGCATTAGGAGAACTGACTTCTCCAGGGAACAGTTGAATTTGAAATTCTGAAAAAGAATCACATGTGATACATACTTGATTTTTGCTTTGATTGATTTTTATCTGAAGGGTCCACTTTTTGGGGAGGTAGCCATCAAGGAGTATTGAGAAATGTGTCTTATTTGAATGTGACTTCTCCGTTTCTTGGTCAGTCCTCTGAGTTCGTCAAATGAATGCTTGTGTGAGTTCTTGAATTCCAAAAGGCGTGGGTGATGAGAAAGGCCGGGATGGAGCTTCGGAGACCCCGAGTGTGCATTTGGGCTGCCTGGCTGTGAAGAGAAGACCTGTTTAATGTGTTAGGAGTTGGATTTCATGCAGATAGCTTGGAAGTTGCAGGAAGGGCTCTGATGACTCCAAACACAACACAGCTACCCCATGTCTTCCCTTGCGCTATGAAGCGCCGCCTCCGAGGGGCACCCGGGGGTCCTGGCTGGCTTATTGGGGTGTCCTTTGGTTACTTACTCAGGGCACTGTTTTAAAGTCAGGACTGTTGGCGACGCAGGTGTTGTACTTTTGTATCAGCGCTGTAACAGAACAGTTGACATGCCAAAGTAATAAAGTAATAAAGCCACAGTGCTGCCTGTTTCACAGCTGTTCATTTTCAAAGATCTGTTCTCGGTACCTTGACTGAGAAGCCTGGGTTCCAAGGAAGGGGCTGCCGTCCACAGGACTCCCTCTCTGTGGACACACAGGCGTGCTCCTCAGATGTGAACACATTACCTTGAGGAAGCTGCGTTTTAAAAATAGGAAAGGAAACGATCGTCAGTGTTTGATGTCGTGCCGGAAAAGCACTCCCATCAGCGCTTTGTGGCCCAGTGTTTTCCACATCGTGTCGTCTTTTCCTTAGTGAAATTTCGGCAGATTGTTATGCAGAAGCGGTTCTGTGTCTCTGTGTGACTGGGAGACAGCTGTTCATCCTAATGAGGATGCCAGCTTCGCGGCGTTTCCGCTGATGGAGACCCGCGGAGGGAGCGGAATGTTCCAGACCAGGCAGTGGTGTGCGGCGAGGAGGTGCTGCACTGTCAGCTGGAGGAGCACGCTCGGCTGCCCCACACGACAAGATAAATGAGTTTGCCGGAGTTTGGCAGCGTCGGAACCATTTCCAGTGCACGGCCGTGCGCGCCAGCCTCCCCATGGGACCTGTGGGCTGAGGGTGCCTTGGAAACTGCTGCCTCTTTGCCAGTTCTTTTTTCTTTTGATGTCCGACAATACTTGTCAGGATTGTGATTTATTAAAAACCTAATGTCTTTTAGCATTTCATTAACATGGAGTTAGGCGATCTTTTGTTGAGCCTTTTTTCCTATTAATTTAGCAGAATGTTCACTGAAACTTAACTTGGCCAAACCTCCTGAAGACTCCAGTTCAAAGAGAAGTTGGGGGCACCTCTCCTCTCATTCTTCCAGGCTCCCCCAGCAGCCGAAGTCCTCTAAGCCTCATTGTAACCTTCTCACTGAAGCGTGGCAGCGTCTGATTTATAGTCAAGCTCTCATGTTGTTCTTTATTTTTTTAGATGAAGACTCTGGAGGAGTTACTGGGTTGATTTTGCAGTCTCTCTCCTCTGCCCATGCTGCTCTCGTAACCCGTGCTGCTCTCGTTACCCAGGCTGGGCGTTTGCTTGTGTCCTGCCCCGTGTGATGCCGTGGTTTCCAGTTGGGCAGTTTCCCCCCAGGAGACAGTGTTTGTTGTCACCCCTGGGGAGGGGTCTGCTCTAGTTTCTAATGTGCCTGGGCAGGGCGGCTGCTACATCCACAGGCCAGGATGCTGCACCACAGGGAAGGGCCCCGACCAGACATCAGGTCCTAGCGGGGGAATAAGTGTCAGCAATCCACACCGCAGCTGTGGGCACCACGACCAGGCCTTTGAGAATGCAGACGTGAAAACGGTCGCCGCCGCATCATCCTGACTGTGTTCCGGGGTCTCGGTGTCAGAGCGTGTTGCCAGGTGTTGTTGACGCACCTTGATTCTCAGTAGCTTTGCTGTACTTTGATGTTATATTTTTAAAAACCTTGTCTTAATGCAGTGGAACTTAGACGTAATTAGGACTCAGCTGGTGTCCACTAAATGAGGAGGATTTTCATAAATGGGCTTTGTGACTGCGTGGTGCTTCTCTCATCCAGGGCCGCATAGAGCATGAAATCCCATGTCACGGTACAGCTTCAGTGGCTGGGACAACTGGCATTTAACTGGACTCCAGAGTTCCAAGCAATTTTGATGGACTGGACCTCGATGAGGGTAGATGTGGAAACCAAGCTTTTGGTCCACATTAAATTAGTGATTTGTGACGACAAGAGGACACTTCCTTCATGGATAGGTGGAAATTCACATGCTTATCATCTCGTAGGTATCTCAGCTGCTTCAGTGCGGGGTGAGGCGGGTTTTGAGCCCCTGTACAGAGTGAGTGACCCCAGTTTTTGTGCCCTGGGAGACAGTGTAGGGGTCAAGCCTGTGTCTCTCTGAGAAGGCACTGCCCCTGCGTCTCAGGATCTGCCCACTCTGCCCTGAAGTCAGACCATGCCTTCCTGGGTGGGCCACTCATGCCCAGCTGCATGGCGAGCATGGGGACCCACCCCAGCCCTGAGCCAGGCAGGACGCGCAGCCCCCTGGCCGTTGCTGAAGACAGCAGTGGATCATGCCTGGATTGTGTGCCCTTAGCTCACGGGGAAAGTAAGGTTTTTATCACATTCTTTTTACTGAACTTTGCCAGTGAGCAAAGAGGTGATTGAATTTTCTTCTTCAAATGTCATTTTATTATTTGAGTTCTAAATACCTTCTGGCAAGTGCCAGAGACTTTCCTTTGATCACTGGTTAAGGTAATCACCCCAGCCACTGCCAGCACAGCCTCAGCTGGTGAGGACATGATTTCCTCTGCAGATTTTGCCTGGGTTTCTTCAGTGATTCTCAGTGCAATTCAAGTGATAACATCCTTTGTTTACATGTTTAATCCGATTTTACCACGGGTAAGACTATTTAATATACTTAGCACCATGTCAAACACTTTTTTTTACATTTCAGAAGAAAAGTTTATGAAAGAGTTTAACATAAACTGATGAAACCTTTCTTCCCCCTCTCTTCTTGTTTTTATGGTACTTTTCATCTTTAGGGCGTGGGTCTCCCATCTTAGCCATTTCAGGGCCTCTTCGGTTCCTCGAGCCTCTCCCTGAGGGCCACATATTTCAACACATTTGAATTAAAAAGAAAACTATTAATTATTATTTTGGATTTATAGAAGCAGGTTCCAAGAGTGGTTGTGATGTTGAATTTTTCTCCTCAAACTTTTTAAGATAAAGATTGTGGTTAAATATACATAATATGAAACTTACTATTTTAACTGTTTTTATGTGTGTACTTCAGTGGCATTAAATCAATTCACATTGTTGTGCAACCACCAGCACTATTTCCTATGCTTTTTCATTATCTCAAATGGAAACTCTGCACTTGTGAAACTATTCATGCCCATCCCCCAGACCCCGAGAACCTCTGTTCTACTTCCTGTTTCTCTGAATTTGCCTAGTCCAGGGATCTTAGATGAGGGGGATTCTTGAAAGTTCATTCATGTCATAGCACGTGTTAGAGTTTCTTTTTTTACGACTGAATAATATTCCATTGTGTGTACACGCCGCATTAAATCCATCTGCTGATGGACATGTGGGTTGTTTGCACCTCTTTGGCTGTTGTCAGTAATGCTACTGTGAATTCTGGTGTGTGGGGCTTCTTGGCTGTTTGTATATCTTCTTTGGGAAAATGTTGATCCAAGTCCTTTGTCCGTGTTTGAATTGTTGTCAGAGTGTTTTTCTCTTAACTCCTGTGTTATGATTACATTGATTGAGAGTTGTTGTTGGAATGGATTTCTTTTAAATTCTCTGCTATAGACCAAGATATGTTATGATTACATTGATTGACAGTTGTTGTTGGAATGGATTTTTTAAATTCTCTGCCATAGACCCAGATGTGTAGACATTTGGGCATGTTCTGTCCAACCCTACTTTCTGTAACCTCTCTTCGTTCCGTTGCCTGTAGATGTGGAATAGAGTAGAATGGACTGTGTGTTTCTGATCCACTGGGAAGAAATCAGTTGTCCTTTTCTTGCACTGGTGGAGAGGCTTTGGGAGGCGGGAGCAGTTTGCAGAGGAGAGAGCTGTGAGTTTGCGCTTCTCCGACCTCCTTCCCACCCACTTGGTCAGGGTTGTGTGTGGGGTGTGGTGTCACGTCCTGCACCTGCTGTTGCATCTGACTCTGTGCCCTTTGTTCATAGCACTGTGACTTCTGCCGTGTTCACCGTGGGAGACAACGTGGTTTCAGGCAGCGATGACCGCACGGTGAAAGTCTGGGACTTGAAAAATATGAGATCCCCCATTGCAACTATTCGCACGGACTCTGCCATTAACAGGTAAAGTCAAACTGTTGGTTAAGTAAGTGGCTTAGTTTGATGTGAAAGGATTGATTGTGATTTCATGTTTTATTCATGGAGGTTTAATTGATAGAACCCCGGGAACAATGGTTTAGGCTCCTTTGTCCTCTAATGCAGTTTCAGTATTCCATGAAAACTTAAACTAACTTAGCCTAAAACCAGGTTGGATCAGTGAGATTTGTGAGAATGAGAATGACCCGTTTGTGGCAGACATGCAGGGCTTCTCTTGACTTCTTGTGAGGATTGGTCTTGTGTCTGGGTGGGTCTGGTTCTACCATTGAGCAGTGTGTGTGTGTGTGTGTGTGTGTGTGTGTGTGTGTATTGTGTGTATGTGCATGGGGTCTGTGTGATCTTGTAGCTACGTGTGAGTAACTTGGTCTCTTTTGAATACCGTAAGCAGGTGGTACACGCAGTGTGTTCATGTAGTCGGCCTTGAAATGTGAATAATATGGAACCTCCTGCTTCATTATCTGTCAACTCAAAAACTTACAGTGTCACTGTTTCATGCACAACCCACTTTTACCTCTTCTTTGCAGGATCAATGTATGTGTCGGCCAAAAAATCATAGCCCTCCCCCATGACAACCGACAAGTGAGACTGTTTGATATGTCAGGAGTGCGCCTGGCGCGGCTTCCCCGGAGCAGCCGACAGGTAACAGCACGGTCGGTGAACATATGCAGGGCACAGTGGAGGAGGACGGGTAGAGATATTTTACATTCTCATTTTCTTACTAAGTCTTTGCATGCTAAGTTTTCCTTGGAAATGCTTGAGCTGTATTTAGAGTTCATAAAATTTAAAATTGAAGAAGTAGAGTTGTACACTCAAGTTATTCCACACCTACTTCAGTGTTTTTTTTTTTTGAGACAGAGTTTTGCTCTTGTTGCCCAGGCTGGAGTGCAGTGGCATGATCTCACGGCAACCTCTGTCTCCCAGGTTCAAGCAATTCTTCTGCCTCAGCCTCAGCCTCAATCTCCCGAGTAGCTGAGATTACAGGCATGCGCCACCACGCCTGGCTAATTTTGTTAGTCAGGCTGGTTAGTTAGTCAGGCTGGTCTTGAACTCCTGACCTCAGGTGATCTGCCCTCCTCCGCCTCCCAAAGTGCTAGGATTACAGGCGTGAGCCACCGTGCCCAGCCCAGTGTTCTTAATACCATGATCGGCTTTTCAGTTTACAAATAAAGAAAACATGCAGCTCCTCTGTTTCACAGGCATGCGGAACGAGCTCTTTGGTGCACGTGTTAGTGGTGGTGGCTCTGTGGGGAAGCCGTCTTAGATGTCTGCAGTTGTGTCTGTGCAGATTGGAAGTGTTGAGTGGGCATTGTGGCCAGGCAGAAGCTGGGTTGGTTGTAGGCTGGGGGTCTTTAAGGTGGGACCTCTTCCACCTCCAGCCAGAAGAACACGTTTCTATGGCAGGCTGTTGCGACAGGAAGAAATATATTTAAATGTTAGTTTCTTGTTAGTGAAGGGTTGCTCCTTGCTAACTTCAGAAGACGGCGGAGGGAGTTTCTCGCTATGTGCTGTTCAGCCCACCCGTCCTGGTTGCCTGGAAGGCGCAAAGAGAATCGAGACTCCATGGCACCCGCACAGATGCAGAGGCCCAGGGGGCCTGGGGGCCCGTGTTCAGATTCCCTGGCGGCTCTGCTGTGCTCTGCAGCCGGGCCTCACTATAATGTGGGTGGCGTTTGCTGTTGGCTCTCCCCTGGGAGGTCACAGGGTCAGCTGCGATGCACAGAAACTCCCCGGGGTCAGTGGCTGGTCGCAGTGGCTGACGCCTGTAATCGTAGCACTTTGGGAGGCTGAGGCGGGCAGATCACGAGGTCAGGAGATCGAGACCATCCTGACTAACACGGTGAAACCCTGTCTCTAATAAAAATACAAAAAAATCAGCCAGGCGTGGTGGCGGGCGTCTGTAGTCCCAGCTACTCGGGAGGCTGAGGCAGGAGAATGGCGTGAACCCAGGAGGCGGAGCTTGCAGTGAGCTGAGATCGCGCCACTGCACTCCAGCCTGGGCGACAGAGCGAGACTGTGTCTCAGAAAAAAAAAAAAGAAACTCCCCGTGGTCGAGGCAGCGTCTGCCCAGCCTTGTGCGTAATGGAGGCCCCCCCAGAGGATCCCTCTTTCCTGTCTTCTTTTGATTTTGTTGGAGTACTGTCTGGATACCTGTGTGAGTAAATGGATTTGTTCCCCGAGGCCTCCTGTGGCTGCACAGGGCCACACGCCTGCCGGCAGCTTGGGTGGCCCCCTCAGTGCCTCTGTGGCTCCTTCTGTGGACACCAGCTCATGGCTCGTGGGCCGCAGCTGCTCTGCACGGGGTGTGAGCCTCAGAACCTGCAGGCAGGCCGGGTGGTCAGGGAGGCACGTGCGAAAGTGGGGGTTCTCTCAGCGCAGCAACACCTTTTCTTCCGGTAGCACAGACTTTCTGGAAATGAGCTTCCCTGAGACCGGGTGTCTCTTCAGTCCCCTTCCTGGCATGAGAGTGCACTGTTTGAAGTTAATTATTGAGTTTTTACTCCTCGATACACATCCAAATAGTGGAGTAGAAAAATTTCATGAAATTAGAGTGACTAAAATATGCTTCACAACCCTTAACACAGCCATAAATTGCTTGTCCTGGGGAAGCTTTTCATGTTTTGTTAACAGCTGAGCATCACTCATGTGTCCTCACAGCTGCATCTTAGACACAGTAGAATGTTCTCTTTTCAATGTGCCCATGCGGATTTTAAAATTTCTGTGCAGCATGTAAAGTTTGCATTTTGAAACACAAATTCATGAAAACTATTTGTTTATGACTGTGAACTATGACTTTATTACTTTGAGAGTATTTTCCCTCAGAAAAACGGAATTCTGAATGGTTCTTCTTGGCCTTAATTCTGTGTAGACAGTTTTATTTTCAGTTATCTGTGAACATTCAACTTTGTTGATGTTGTAGGATTCTGTTGTGCCTGGGTTTATTCCCTCCTAAAGTGGTATGTGAAATAGATTTATTTTTAAGATTAATGAATGTGATTTAACTTTATTTAGAACTTGTAACACCTCTTCAGATAAATAAATGTGGTTTTCAGTGTCACAGAACCCTGCTGGAAATCACTGACTTATATTGTCCTTACTTCTTCAGCTGACTGACTTGAAAAAGAGAAAACAAAACACTTATTTGAGCCTTTAAGTAGTGGAGTGAAAGGGACTGATTGAAAATATTTCCCTGTAGTGCTGGAGTAGGTGTCACTTCCCAGCATGAGTTTTGGGAAAGCGAGCTTGGTGGAGAGTCAGGAGGTCCGGGGTCAGGGTTCCTGTGAAGAGCAGGCTCATTGGGCGTGAGGGTCCCTGCGCAAGGGTCTCTGTGACGTGGAGGCTCACGGAGTGTGAGGGTCCCTGTGATGTGGAGGCCCGTGGGGCCCCGTGCTGAGCGTCCTGGAGCACATCACGTGCACTGGGGCTCATGACGGCATGGGGCGTCTTCCGGGTGCATCTGCTTCCTGGGTGGCAATGCTGTGGGCGCATGAGAGATGGAAATCCCATGGGAGCTCTGCCGGAGGTGAAAGCCTGGCTGGCTTTCTTCTGGAAGCTCTTTGGCACTTCTGCAGCGAATGCCTTGAGTTTCACTGTGCAGAGCTCTTGCCCACAGCCTTGGTTTTGCCTCCAGTTAGTGGATGCATTGCTGCTTCCTTTTTTGTGCCTTTTGTAACCCTTTGTTATGTGGTCTTTCTTATAATTATTTTATTTTTCTGGCCTTTTGTGGATGTCTTTCCAGATGTATAAATAGCTATTGTGGTTCTCTCTCCAGATGTATAAATAGCATATTTATGGGGGAATATTTTCAGGAGAACTTTATGCCATTCTTTGAGTGTTTCTTAATCTGTCAACTTTACTTAATACTGACTCACTCTTGTACCTGATGCTGTAACAGCAACGTATCAGAGCTGTTGTGTAGTTTAGAAAATGCAGATGGGTGCTAAGGCACTGCTTACAGATATTCTAAGTGTTGGCTAAGAGCCTGCATCTGCTATGTACATACACACCGATATGCTATTGCTCTGTCACATATTTTGCAGTAACTTTTCCAGCATGCTGATATTTAACTGGAATTGCTGAAGATGGCAGGAATCTACCTAAAAGGCCATTTATTTATCCTTGTTTTATATGACACCAAATGTATTTTTGTAGTTCCATTATTACTGAAGCCAGTTATTTGTTAAAATGCAATTTGAAGTCTTTGAGTGAATATCATTTAATTTACCTCTAAATATCTCCTAGCTTCATTTATTCAAAAATTTCACATTGATCATTTATTTTTTTGTCTGACTGTAATCTTACTCATTTTCTTAAAGAAGGACTCATACAGTGCTTTTGGGCGGGTTCCACCAACCCTCGTGCTCACTGGTGTCTCGGCATCACTCATTCTGGCCTGGCTGCACGTCCTGGCGGCTCTGCCGTGCTCGGCGGTCCATGCTCGGCGGTCCATGCTCGGTGGTCCTGCTCAGTGGTCCATGCTCGGCGGTCCATGCTCGGTGGTCCTGCTCAGTGGTCCATGCTTGGTGGTCCATGCTCTATGGTCCATGGGGTGCTCGGTGGTCCGTGCTCGGCGGTGGTTGGTGCTCGGCAGTCCATGATCTGTGGCCCATGCACGGTGGTCCATGATCTGTGGCCCATGCACGGTGGTCCATGATCTGTGGTCCATGCTTGGTGGTCCGTGCTCGGTGGTCCATGGGACTGATCCTGCACACCATGTTGTTTTCCTATAACTTACGTACTTTGAGTGATGTGGTTATTCATTTCGCTGAGGTCTTATAATCTTACTTTCGGGAATAATGCACTGATTTTGGTTTGTTTGATCATCACTAGGGCCACAGGAGAATGGTATGCTGCTCGGCATGGAGTGAAGACCACCCCGTGTGCAATCTGTTCACCTGTGGGTTTGACCGGCAAGCCATTGGTTGGAACATCAACATCCCTGCATTGCTACAAGAAAAATAAGGACACCGGCAGCCCTTAGTTTCACTGTTTGCCAGCACAGACCTTTGATGGGTGCAGGCTTTTCTGCGTATTAATCAGCCATTTTTGTGAGAGTTTGACCCTGGAAAGGGTGCTTTGTATATGTTCTTTTCACATAGTGCCCAGCTTGCATGAAATGTACAGAGAAATGTGTGGTCGTATTTTTTACTTTTGTCTTGTATATGTATGTATATTGGGTCCTCTGGGCAGTAGAGGCAAAGCTCACCTCCCATGTAGCACATGAAATGCTTGTGAGTTGTTGACATTGGACAGGTGAACAGTAGGGCATTACATTTGTGTGAATTAAATGTGAACTTCTGTATTACGTTGCGGCGTCGGCAGTCCTGCGTTCCCTGGAGTAACTGTACGTATCTGCCTTTGCTGGGAAGACTGTGGGGCTGCCTGTGTTGGCTGGCGACCAGCAGGATTGCTCCAGGATTTTGTGTTTACCTCGCGTGAAGTTCAGCACGTGCTGTCGTGTAGTCAGCTTCTACTCTAATTTCTGTTACAGTTCTGCAAAGGTAACCTGGAGTTTAGAAGTTAAAAAAAAGCATGGGATGTTGGATTTGCACCATTTGGAGTTTCTTTAGGAAAGAAAAGTTTTCTGCTTTTTTATAGAAAATCATTTCAGTCTCCCGAGGTCTCATGCTAGCAAATTTTGAAATAGGATTCTAATCACTGATTTCAAATATTAAGCAAAATGTAAAGCACTTTAATTTATAGCTATGGTTATAAACAGGTTTTAGATGTTTCAAATGACTTGTCCACTGAATGTCACTTGACCTTGATAAGAGGCCGCCTGCACACAGAGCCCAGTTAATTCTCCGCACCTCGGTTGTGTGCTTCCGAATGGGCTCACTCCCGTGGTGGTGTTTGAGAGCCAACAACACTACCTCAGAGACGGGTCTTTGGGAAACTTTGGGTCTCACTGTTGCCTGGCTGGAGCACTTTGGTTTATAGCTGGAATACTGAGTTCAGTTCAGAAGGCAGGAAAGACAGTCACACCGACGTGTCCTGAAGGTGTAGGCTCTCCACTTAGGCGCACAAGCTGACGGCTGCAGCCAGCAGGCCCCGGTGACGAGACACTTCCAGGTCTTGTGGTGGGGACGCCTCTCAGTGCCAGTCCCGCCACTGCTGAGTGAGCCTGGTGTTCTTGCCTTCTTGGAAATTACTGCTCACCTGGTATCTGTACGTTAATGTTTCTTGCTGAGTTACAGTTTTGATAAAGAGGCTCTCATTTCCTGTGTCTTGTATATTCAGTCCTTTCAATACGTCCACCTGGAGGCTCACCACTTGGAGAGACACAGGAAGGTAATATTTACAGCTGTCATGTGACATCCCCAGGTCTTTGTGTTTTGCCCTGTTTTACGGTGAGGTAGGAGGGAACCCATCTGGGGACCGGTAGGTGCAGGTGCAGTAGGACGTGGGACTTTTGGACCCGTCCTTTGGTGCAGCTCGCCAGGGATGAGAGGCACCTCCCTACTTGGGTCTTCAGGAGCTGGTCCAAGGAGCTTCGAATCTAAGTCATCTAGAATGACCCTGAAATGACTGACAGCCCCGGGCCCAAGAAAAACCCATAACCACCTCAGATGGATCTGACGTGGCTAAGGGACAAACAGCAAATATTTCAGTCATTTTGATTTTACAAATAAAAAATGTGTTGTGTTTTTGTCCGACATTATTTCCTGACTGCACTGTTCTGAGAATGGAGTCCACCTGGTCCCTCTGGTTGATTAGAATCTCAGGTTTCAGCTCCTGCTGTCCTGAGCGAACTTGCCTGATGCAGGGCTGTGCTGTGTCCAGATGTTGCTGGGGCCTCACTTTTTCTCTTGGCTGGAGGTCCAATTGCCAGAGCCTCCCACACTGCACATACAAAGGTCTGAGCCCAGGGCAGCTTCTGGGGCCACTGCACAGGCCACCTGCTTGGGTTCCTCGGAGTTTAATTTGAAAGTCTGGGTGTCTTAGGATGATGGTTAGGAACATTGAAAAATGGCTGCAAATAGCCAAATCAAACTTAAGAACCAGATCTCTGCCAGATTAAACATTTTTGAAGCTTTTAAAAGTCAATATTCCTAGTGGCCACTGAGTTCCAGGCACACTGGTGCCCTTTACTGCCACAGCTGCTCACCTTGTCTGGCAAACTGGAGGGACCTCAGAAACTGGACTCCTGCATGTCCTTGGGGGCGCAGCCCTGTGGTGCTCAGGCAGAGCTCTCAGGAGCCGGGGCACCTTGCTGTTCGCTGCTGTGTCGTCTTCTAATGTGAGCTCATCCACTGCTGCTGCAGCGTGGTGATCAGGAGTCACAGACAAGATCGGGGATGGTGTGTGTGTGTGTGTGTGTGTGTGTGTGCACGTGTGTGTGGCTAAATTAAGTCATACTGTCAACCACACGTGATCTCGTCTGAAACAGTGTTTGGAAGTGGGAACAGTTTTGTCCTGTATGCTGATGTGTCCAGAATTTCATTTAATGATAGACGGAAAATGTGTGGTTACTGAAAACTGTATATGATACAGAATTTCATAAGAGCCATGCTGTTGGGCAAAGCAACTCTTTTTCAACCACTGCTCATCAGTTTCTGTAGAGACAAAAACTCTGTACATATTTTGGAATCTGAAGAATCCTATGTAAATCATTTGTTACTTAAGTCTGTGAAAAACATATTTCTTTGGAGGAAAATGTATGCATTTATAAGTGTTCCATGGAATCAGTTTTTATTGTATCGATATAATTGTCTCTAAGTGTTGACTGTCTTCATTGCAATATGAAATTCATTAAAATGTCCATGTTCCATAATTACTATTATAAAAGCTTTGTGTTATTGGGAGTCTTATTATTTTTATAGTTTTTCATGTTTTGCTTTGGTGAAACATTGTGAATGACTATATAAACATCACGATGAGCTAGAAATTGAACAAATATAATACTGGTCACTCGAAAAATTTTTAGACTTAAAAAGTCAGTTGTGTTTTGTGTCTGTCTCTTATGCTAACATTAAACAATACATAATTATGTTGCTTCATCCCTCATCAGGAGCCTGAAAACTTCCAAAAGCGTTAACAGTTTGACATAATTTTTGGTAAAGTTCCTCAGTATAATAAAATGCTCATACCGTTCTCATTGCAGTAAGCTTGTTTGAAAGTTAAAAAAAAATACAGTTACAGAAAGTAGGTGCCATTTTCTGTGGGAGAATGCAAACCAGACTGGGAGTGGCTCCTGGGGGCTCCTGGTGCATGGCCATGTCTGACCCACGCGTGGAGGCTGAGGCTGTGGCTGAGGCCATGGCTGAAGCTGAGGCCGAGGCTGAGACCAGGACTGGTGCTGTGGCTGTGGCTGAGGCTGAGGCCTAGGTTGGGGCTGAGGCTGGGGCTGAGGCTGAGGCTGGGGCGGAGGCTTTGGTTGAGGCTGTGGCCGAGGCTGAGACCAGGGCTGTGGCTGTGGTGGTGGCTGAGGCTGAGGCTGAGGCCCAGGCCGTGGCTGTGGCTGAGGCTGAGGCTGCTGCGGTCTCAGCAGGTGGAGAGTCTGGGAGGGTTCTTGCTTGAGCAGATAGTGGCTCCTTCACGCTGGCGAGGCCACTGCCTAAGCTGCATTGGCGCTGGGAGTATCTTCACACCCAGAAAGGCAGACCATTTCTCCACTGGTTACTTAACTTTCTCACCTTCCTCCTTAAATAGCCTGCGATTATTGTCTAAATTTCATAATGTTACATCTTCAGTGAATTTAAAAGTTCATGCTCTATTAGTATCAAGAATCCAGATAGAAATGCTTACACATTGCTGTGATTTCACCAAAACGCCAGGGCACTGGTCTCCCTTACTATCCATAGGTTTACTGTTTTTCCCTAATAACTTAGAATTTAAAAAACTATGCTAAAATTTGGGAACACCTGAATTTATTATATGTAACATATACAATTCATCTTATAGTGGGAAGAAGCTGAAAATGAAATTAGCCAAAAGTCTTGTGTGATTTTTTTTTTTTAATTAAAAAATTTTTTTTTGTGACAGGGTCTCACTGTGTTGTCTAGGCTGGTCTCGAACTTCTAAGCTAAAGCAGTTGCTCACCTTTGCCTCCCAAAGTGCTAGGATTATAGGCTTGAGCCACCGCGCCTGGCCAAAAGTCTTGTGTAATTTAAAATTAATTTTAGTAGAATATCTTTTATTAAGCAGCTTTTGGTCAAAATGAAAATGAACTAAGCAGGTCTTTGGAGATGCAGGAGCTCTGTGTGGAAGTCAAGCTAGAGTTTCCTGGGGCCTGTTGGTTTGTGGGCTGAGTGGAGAATAGTGAGGAGCTTCCTTGGGTATCTGGTCATGGAGGCTTCTCTGAGGTTAGTCAAGGCACCAGGAAGTGGTGGGGAGAGTTTCCAGTGAGCAGAGTGCCATAAGCAAAAACAAGGTGAGCTTGGCACACTTCAGGTGCTGAGATCAGAGTGACCAGAGTGCAGGTGAAATGTGGTGGCCCCGGGGGGCTGGGGTGACATGCAGGCACCGTCCCACCCAGAAGCTCTGGGGAAGAGTGTGGATTTCATCCTCTGCACCTGAAAGGGTGAAGATCAGAAGTGGGGAGACTGCCCAGTCATCCAGGTGAAGGATGTTGGTTGCCCGGGCTGTTGTTGGCAGTAGGATGGAGAAAGAGGATGGATTGAGATCTAAGGGTTAGAACAGGCAGTTCTTGCTGGAAAGAAGTGTTCTTCATTCTACAGTTCAGAATAGGAAAGGTATTGACTGTGCAGGCATTTCTTAGTGTACTCAAAAGATGTTTCAAGCACTGACAACCTAAAATATATGATCAGGATTTTCCCCTTAAAGAGTTGATGATGAGTTAGGAAATGTCAGTCACAACTTGGAGACACCATTATCTTAGCTAAGTTCATCTGTCACCCATGCTGATGAGCACCTTGCCCCCCCCCCACTCCACAGACTCTGCCTCCCTCTCACCTGGGCACCACGTCTACCTCTCACATGGATGCTGTCGGAGTGGTCATGCCCTGGTATGTGACACCCTGTCTAGGCATGATTGATTGGGGGTGGGAGGGTCTCAGGCCTTCAGACTTGGCTTGGAACACCACCACTAGCTCTCTTGGGCCTGTAGTTTGCAGATGACAGACTGCAGGACTTCTCAGCCTCCATAATCACATGAGCCAGTCCCTCATCACAAGTCTTTGTGTATCTATATACATCCTATTGGTTCTGTTTCTCTGGAGAACCCTGACTAATACAGTGACCTATTTAGTTAATGGTTCTAGTACTGTTTGTTTTCCACATGAAATGAAGTAATCTATTTGGATCCATACCTCACACCAAACAAAAATGAATTCCAGCATTAACTGTTAAATTTTAAAGGAGAAACATCAAAATTAAAATTGTTTTTATAACTTTAGATTTATTAAAGTTCTTTAAAAATGCATTAAGCATACTAGAAAAGATGGATGAATTCAGCTACATTAAAATTAAAAGATTCTGTTCATTATAAGACACCGTTAGGGTGAAATGATAAACCACAAGTGGTAGTTGCAACATATATAATTCACAAAGGACTGCTATCCAGGATAGTGAACAAAATAAGATTTTATATATCTATAGGAGAATTGGAAATTGAACAGCAGACCTGAATAGGTATGTAACAAAAGAGAAAATATGAGTAGCCAATAACAAAATACAGAAATTGAGAACTTGAAAATTAAGGCCAAAATGAAATGCCATTTCACAGTCATTAGATTGGAGGGAAAATCTGTGGAGCATATATAGACTATTGGAACTTTGCACCCTGTTGGTTGGGGCCTAAAGTAATACAGCAACTTTGGAAACATTATCTTGGAAGTCTGGCTGTGTGCATACCTCTGTGCCCAGCACACTAGGTGTGTGTTTAGAATACGGTTGATTATGCTGTAATGTCTAGAGCATTTGCATTAGAATCGTCTTGAGTGTTTGTTAAAATGGAGACCTCTGGGTCTCTAGAAGCTACTGACTCAGAATCTCTGGGGAATGGTGACCTGCCTTTTATAATAAACATGCTCTCACGTGGGATTCTGCTGTCCAGTTTGAGAACCACTCTTCTAAAGAACTTGAACATGTGTTGGGAGACTGTGCAGGGTGATAGCATCAAACTAGAAACAACACAAACATCCACAGGGGTAAACTGGCAAATCTACACAGAGTTAGCACAGAGCGGTAAAATCGGAGAACACCACGCTACACTCAATCCTTGATCTTAGGAACATAATGTGGAATGAAAACATAGGCACTGAAGACCACAGACATATGAAACCATTTTCATAAAGTACAAAAACAAGCAAAACCAAACCACGTCTGCCAGTCCGTCTATCTAATCCGTGGTCACCTATTTTGGGGGCAGAGGGTAGGATTGGGAAGAGCTCAGAATTGGCAGTGTTTGGTTCTCAATTTGGATGGTGGGAACATGTTTTTTTGTTTTTTGTTTCTTTTTTTTTTTGAGACAGTGTCTCACTGTGTCACCCAGGCTGGAGCGCACTGGCTCAATCATGGCTCACTGCAGCCTCGACCTCCTGGGCTCAATCGATCCTCCCACATCAGCCTCCCTAGTAGCTGGGACTACAGATGCATGCCACCACACCTGGGTAATTTTTGTATGTTTTTGTAGAGTCAGGGTTTCGCCATGTTGCCCAGGCTGGTCTTGAACTCCTGGGCTCAAGCAATCTGAGTATTCATACTTTATAATACTTTACAATTAGAAGGAATTTTTTATACTATTCCTTCAGTGTACCTAATATTATATAATTAAAAGAGTAAGAAATTCTAAAGAGAAAGTGTGTGTTATTCCAAAGATGGATAAAGTGAGTGCTGATAAGATGGGGGATTTATACCAATATTTTTTGATAGCATCAGTTTTAAACTCATCATTGAAGAGCCATATTTTATTCACTTCACATATTAGTACTTTTTCCATTTATAAACATGTAGTTTTATTATTCTAAGCTATCTGATATTCAGGCAGTGTGCACATTTCATAGGAGGAAACACAAAGCCAATTTTGCTCCAAGATAATGTCCTTGAGAAAATGGTCACTGAGGAAGTTGTTGAAAGGCAGTGTGTTACACTGTGTCAAAACTGGGCTGCTTTCAAATACATTTTAGAAATCCCAGCTTTAAAGTAGGAAATGTAATAAGGATTTCATTTGCCAGGTGTGATCATAAAACAATAAAAGTAGTTTTCTAATGTTGCTCATAAACTGGGACTGAAAATCATTTCAAATCCAGGAGACAGTCCAAAAATGGTTATTGAGCAATGGCCACATATTGGAATAAAAATTTTTATTTTCAGTCTGTGTTTTGGGAAAACAGCATTTCATTGCATAGGTGGATAAGTTCTAGAATATTGGCTAAACATATAATCATTTTCTATAATGCATATGCATTACAAAAGTTTTCTAGCTCCTGAAGTATTATGGAGTTTTCTAGCTCCATAATACAAAAATGTTCTACTGATAAACGTTATTTTCTTTCTTTTTCAGTAATAAAATTAATTGTATATGTTCTCTGACCACTCCCTGTCTGAAGGAGCTAATTTTAGTTTTCCTCTCTTTTGAAACAGCTTTGTTCTGGTATTCTGGTGTAACAGACAACACACCAGACATATTTAAGGTATAAAACGTGATTTCCTTTGACAGGCATTTACCATGAAATCATCCCCACAATCGAAATCATGCACAATCCCCCAAGGAAGTCACCCGGGCCCTTCCGTGTTCCCTGCACTGCCCCTCCTCACCCCCACTCCACCCTTGGGGAAGCACTGGTCTACCTTCTGTCACTAGAGATTAATTTGCATTTTCTATAATTTTGTATAAATGCAGTTATACAGTATGTATTTTTTGGTTTCTTTCACTTAGAAAAATTATTTTGAAAGATTAATTTTATTGCATATCCCAATCTATTTCTTCTCATTGTGAGTAGGATTTTGTCGTGTGGATAAACCACATTCATCTGTTTACCTGCCGATGGACATTTAGATTGTTTCCAGTTTTTGGCTATTTCAAATAAAGCTGGTATGAACACTTGTGTGCAAGTCTCTGTGGTGACATGTTTTCATTCTCCTGGGCGAATTCCTGTAAATGCTGATTTTGAACTTTGAGAGCCTGCCATACCTTTCCCAGTGTGACCATTCTAGAGACCTCTGGTTTCCATTCCAACATGTGAAAGAGCTTGGAAGTCGTTTCTCTCTCCCTCACCATAAAAAGGCAAAAAACAGAAAACAGTGATTTTTCTTAGATCACAACAGAGAGTTGTGGTCACAGGGCAAACTGGTGACCCAAAACCGGAGAAACAGGCAGATACAGAGAATGATGGCTTCCGGAAGAGCAGCTGCTGCAGCCAGAAATGGCTCGGGACCCCACATGGGGCCATGGAGGCATTGACAGAGGCTGGGGCTGGCTGCGGACGGAGGGCTCCCAGATGTCTGGTCTGCTGGCTGCCTCAGTTTCATGGGTTCTCTTTCCAGGAGCACCACCAAGTTCCTATGGTGAAGACGGGAGAAGGACCCCCTCCTGTGTGGTGAGGGGAGGGAAGGTGACTGTGGATTCAGCTAGCGCTTTCTCCCTACAGACCCACTCTGCAAGGGCAAGGCCTTCACCAGCACATCTGACCTGGGGGGAGGGAAAATCACTCGGCTGCAGCCTCTTAGCCTTCCTGTCTCAGGGGGCAGTACCTTGAGGATCATTTGTGAAGGTCACAGCCACAGACGTGTGCAGGCCCCCTGAAAACACAAGACCAAATCATGGGACTACAGACCCCTCCCCTCCCCTTTCCCTCCCCTGCCTTCCTTTTTCCTCCCCTCCCCTTCCCCTCCCCTTCCCTTTCCCTCCCCTCCCCTCCCCTCTTCTACCTGGCCTCACAACTACACAGCTCCTGAATAAGGACAGTCAAGGGGGCCACAGCTCTGACTCTACTTAAGAAGGAGTTTCAAGGGAAATCAAGACAACAGGGGAGGCAAAAGCAAAGACACCAGAGGAGATTGGAGCCTTGCAGCTACAGCAGACAATGAGCCCAGCCTCCCTCCTAGACAGAGGCATAAAACCTCACACCAAAGGCCTGCTTACCTCAGTGCCTTCTGCTGAATACATCATGTTTAGCTTTCAGCTGAAGATGAGAAGGCATGCCAAAAGTCAAAACACAAGAGACAAAATATCAGAGCAGACTCAGATATGGCAGAGACACTAGAATTAGCAGACACGAATTTAAAAACACCTATGATGAGTATGCCAAGGGCTCAAGTGGGAAAAGTGAACAACAAGCAAGAACAGTTGGGTAATGTAGGCAGATAAATGGAAATCCTAAGAATAAAAATACTAGAAATAGAAAACACTGTAATAGAAATGGAGAATGCTTTTGATTGGCTCTTAGCAGACTACACATGGCTGAGAAAAGCATCAGTGAACTTCAAGACAGGTCAATAGAAACCACTCAAACTGAAAAGCAAAGTGAAAAAAGAATGAAAAAGGCAGAATGGTATCCAAGATTTGTGGCACAATCACAAAAGATAAAATATGTGTGTTTGGGAATACCAGGAGGAGAAAGAGAAAGGATGAGGTGAAAGATGTAAAGTAATAGTTGAAACCTTTACAAAATTAATAGGAAAAACCAGACTACAAATCAAGAAAGCTCAGGGAATAAATACCAAACAGATAAATACCAAGAGACTTGGTCAACACTTAGGCACATTATATTCAAACTGCAGAAAACCAAAGACAAAAAGAAAATCTTGAAAGAATTCAGGGCAAAAATACTTTATCTATGGAGGAACGATAATAATAATGACATCAGATGTCAGGAACCAATGCAACTAAGAAGAGAATAGAGTGAAATGTTTAAAGTCTGGAAAGAAACGACCATCAATAAAGAATTTTGTGTCCAGAGAATTGTCCTGCAAAAGTGAGGGAGAAATAGTTTCCGAGACAAAAACAGAGGAAATATGTGCATTTATCTGTATCCTGCAGTTTGAAAAAAATTTACCAGTTAGTTATAATTACTTTTAGTACAAGTTCTGTCAGATTTTGTACCTTGGGATAGTAGCAGTTGGTTTATTTTCTTACTTTGATGTACTGTGATGGTGAGAACCCTTACTACAATGTATGACCAAAGTGGGGAAGGTGAACTCCATGTTGTTCCTGATCTGAAAGAGAAAGCACTCAGTATATCACCATTAATTAGGATATTAGCTCTATGTTTTCCACAGATGTTCATCAAGTTGAAGGAGTTCTCTTCACTGATTGCTGAAGAGTTATTAACAGAAAGGGATGTAGGATATTTTTTCCGATTTTTTTGGTGTTTATTGAGATAGCCATGTTGTTTTTCTTTTATAGGTTGTTAATATGATTTATATTAATGGATTTATGAATGTTAACCTTGCATTTTTGAAGATAAACCCAGTTTTGACATACTGTACTATTTTTTATATTGTTGCATTTGATTTACAATTATTTTGTTAAGGATTTTTGTGTCTATGTTCATGAGAGAGACTGGGCTGCAGTTTTCTTCTGAAGTCTCTGTCTGATTTTAGTATCAGCGTAATGCAGGCCTCATAGAGTTGGAAAGCTTTCCCTATTCTTCAGTTTTCTGAAAGAGTTTGTGTAGAATTGGTATTATTTTTACCTTAAATGTTTGGTAGAATTCATGAGTGAAGCAATATGGATATGGAGTTTTCTTTGTGAAAAGGTTTTAAACTATAAGTTAAATGTATTAGATGTGGGGATATTCAGGTTATTGATTTCTACTTGAGTTAAATGTTGACAGCTTATGTTTTTCAAGGAATTCTTTCATTTCACCTAAACTATTGAATTTATTGGCATAAAGTTGTTCATATTATTCCATTCTCATCCTTTAATATCTGTAGAATCTATAATAATGTCACCTCTCTCATTCCTGATATTGGTAATTATGTCTTCCTTTGTTTCCTGATTAATCTGGCTGAAGGTCTATCAATTTGATTGATACTGTTAATGAACAAAATGTTGGTTCATTGATTTTTCTATTTCGTTTGGTATTTTATTGTTTTCTGCCCTGATTTTTATTATTTCCTTTCTTCTCATTACTTTTGAGTTTACTTTGTTCTTCTTTTTTCACTTAAGGTGGAAGCTGAGATCTTTGATTTAAATCGAAGTTTCAAAATTACATTTCCATATCTAACTGCATAGTTGGGAACTTTTAAAATAGGTGACACATTGTGTGTTTTTTTTGTTTGTTTTTTGGTTGTTGTTATTGTTGCTATTGTTTTTAAGTGAAAACATTAGGAAAAATAGTCACAAAAACATAAAAGTCATCTTTACCAGAATGAAACCATGTTTCATAGCCCTTTATCTTTATGAAACATTGTACAGTTACTTTACAGTTATTTTCTGTTTTTTTTTCTCAAGAATGGAATGTGTATTTTTCAAATGTAAAATTGAACTTAAATTTAAAACATCATAATCTGGAGTGGTTGAAATGTGCCTCTGTTTGGGAAATGCAGGGGGATGATTAATTATCCTAATTCAGTGCCATCAGATGCAGCCGTGGGTGCTCAGACAGCTCCTATGTCAGGCTTCCCTTTTCCAGCCCATTTGAAAAAAGAGAATGGGGCTGGGTGGTGCGGGGCTTGGTACCTTTCCATGAGGCCAGGGTGTCCTGGTGGCAAGGCTCTCAGCAAACCTCTCCTCCCAGCCACCACAGATTTTCTTCTCTTTCGTGCCTTTCTGCTGTTGCTGTCTGTCCCAGGCCACATGCTGTCCTCAGCAACGGAATCATTTAACGACGCTCCCAGCCTCTGGCTTTACATTTCTCTCCTTGTAGATAAGTTTGTTTATGAAAGGTGTTATTTTCTTACCAACAGCTAAGATGTCTTGAGGGACTGATTAATGATATTCCTTGCCCAAACTAAAACAGGCTGAAGCAGCGTTGTGCTTCCATTTCTTTCTTTCTTTTCATTTTTTAGCTGAAGTCTTGTGCTTGCGTTGTTACTTTTAGCTTCACTGCATGGTTTTGCAGCATCTTTTGAAGTCACATATGGACTTGAGCCCACTGAACAAGGGAGGACCACACTGTTGCCCTTTCTGGGTTAGGCCCCTCCAGCAGGCACTGAAGGTATCTCCAGTTCTTGCATAGCTACTTCAGGAAAGGGTGAAATGCCGACCGTGGGCGACACAGCAGGCCTGCAATAGAGATTGCCCAGGAATTGTCAGTATCCACTGTAAGGAACTCACTCCACGTTTGATGTATTTGGGAAGCAGTATGTATTTCCTGTTAATTTTCTAGTTCGTGGTTATGTTCTGTATTTCAAAGATTTCCAAATGTGCCAGGAAAGAGGAACCCCACAATATTCCATCCAAGTAACGACTGCCTGTGGGATGAAGAATCCATTTAAAATGGTGTCTCTTCCAGTAGCTCTGTAAATGACTGGATGCTCTGGAGAGTGGGTTCAACGCTGTCAGAAAACAGTGCATGACTAGCGCAGCCCTCCTGAGTGAGCGACTGGTGGGGACTGTGGCAATTCTCCTGAGTGAGTGACCGGAGAGGCCCGGGCAGCTCTCCTGAGTGAGCAACTGGAGGGTCCCGGGCAGCTCTCCTGAGTTAGTGACCAGAGGGGCCGGGGCAGCTCTCCAGAGTAAGCGACTGGTGGGACCGTGGCAGTTCTCCTGAGTGAGCGACTGGTGGGGCTGGGGCAGCTCTCCTGAATGAGTGGCCAGTGAGGCGATCCTCCCTGCTGATTTTGTAAGGAAAGAGCCTTACCAGACCCCAAAGACCACTCCCAAGGGTGCCTTCAGACATAGTCTCTGGTATTTTTTTAAACTAATATTTAAATGTTACCAACATTTATGAAGCAAAAGGTTTAAAATTCAGATTTTTGACTTTTCTTGCAAATATTAGAATACCAGACAAAACTGGGCCAGCATCTCCACATTGCAACTGGTGGAGCTGCAGAGGGGCCACCCTGTCTAGTTACCTGAGCCAGGACCAGGTCAGCATCATCCTTAACCGCCGGAACTCTTGCAGGAATTTGAATTTGCACCCTATGAAATGCATGCTGGCCACTTTCTAAATTTTCTCTTTGAGCCAACTTCTGTGCAGATCCCCAGACTCTGCCACCTGGATGGCATGGATGTCCTGGATGGCAGAAACTCATGATATCAACATTTATTTTTCCACAGCATTTTATTATGAAAATTTTCAAACCTACAGAAAAACTGAAAGATTTTTTTTCAGTGAAAGCCCATATTTCCACCACTTAACTTTATGATTAACATTTTACATTCCTGTTTTATCACATATTCGTCTATTCTCTATCCCTCTACCAAACCATTTTATCTTTAGATGTTAGTTTTTAGGGCAATTTTAGGCTTACAGCAAAGTTGAGCAGAAAATGCACAGTTGTTGCATATCCCTCTGCCCCCACACATGCGTGGCCTCCTCCACTGTCAGCATCCCCCACCAGAGGGTGCACTCATTACAATTGAAGAGTCAGCATTGTCACATCATTATCACCCCAAATCCACAGTTTACATTAGGGTTCACTCTCGGTTTTGGACATTCTATGGGTTTGGACAAATGTATAATGACATGGATCCATCATTTTAGTATCATGCACAGTAGTGCTGCTGCTCCAAAGAAACCTCTGTGCTCCACCTATTCATCCCTCCCTCTCCTCAGCCTTGGCAGCCACTGATTTTTTTAAAAATTACCTTCACTTATAGTTTTGCCTTCAGAATGTCAGAGTTGGAATCCTACAGCATGTAGCCTTTTCATATTGGCTTCTTTCACTTAGCAATAAGCATTTAAGGTTCCTGCATGTCTTTTCATGGGTTGGTAACTCATTTCTTTTTGCTACTGAATCATATTCCATTGTCTGGATGTCCCAGAGTTTATCCATTCACCCACTGAAGGACATCTTGGTTGCTTCCAAGTTTTGGCAATTATGAATAAAAATGTTATAAACATCTGTGTGCAAGTCTTTGTGTAGACATAAATTTTCAACTTCTTTGGGTAAATACCAAGAACAGCAACTTTTGGATCATATGGTAAAAGTATGTTTAGTTTTTTAAGAAATTGCCATACTACCAGATATGGTTTGGCTGTGTCCTTACCTGAATGTCATCTTGAATTGTAACTCCCACAATTCCCACGTTTTGTGGGAGGAACCTGGAGGGAGGTGATTGAATTACGGGGGTGGGTCTTTCCTGCACTGTTCTCGTCATAGTGAATGAGTCTCAAGAGATCTGATGGTTTTAAAAAGAGGAGTTCCCCCTGCACAAACTCTCTCTTTGCCCACCACTATCCATGTAAGACTTGCTCCTCCTTGCGTTCTGTTATGATTGTGAGGTCTCCCCAGCTTTGTGGCACTGTAAGTCCATTAAACCTCTTTTTCTTCCCAGTCTTGGGTATGTCTTTATCAGCAGCGTGAAAACGGACTAATAAGCTACCTTTCAAAGTAGCTGCACCATTTTGCTCTCCCACCAGAAGCGAATGAAGGATCCCGTTGCTCCATATCCTTGCCAGCATTTGGTATTGTCAGTATTTTGGATTTTGGCCATTGTAATAGGTGTATGGTAGTATCTCATTATCGCATTGTTGTTTTAATTTACAATTCCTTAATGACATATGTTGATGAGTATCTTTTCATGTGCTTACTTGCCATCTGTATATCTTCTCTGGTGAAGTGTCTGTTCAGACCTTTGGCCCATTTTTAAGTTGGGTTATTTTCTTTTCTTTTTTTTTTTGAGACAGAGTCTCGCTCTGTCACCCAGGCTGGAGTGCACTGGCACGGTCTTGGCTCACTGCAAGCTCCGCCTCCCAGGTTCATGCTGTCCTCCTGCCTCAGCCTCCCGAGTAGCTTATTATTGAGTTTTAAGAGTTCTTTGTATATTTTGGATAACAGTCCTTTATCAAACGTGTCTTTTGCAAGTACTTTCTCCTATCCTGTGGCTGGCTCCAGGATCTGTAGTGATATCCTCTATTTTGTAATTTTGGTGATTTGTACCTTCTGTTTATCTTTGTCAGCCTAGCTAGAGGTCTATCAATTTTATTGATTTCCTTTTGGGGGTGTGGGGATGGAGAAGTAGCTTTTTGTCTCATTGATTTTCTCTCTTGTTTTCCTTTTAAGTTTAATTAATTTCAATTTTTATCTTTGTTATTTCCCCTTTCTGCTTGTTTTGGATTTACTTTGCCTTTTCTAATTTCTTGAGGTAAGAACTTAAATGATTGATTTCTTTCTTCTTTTCTAATATAAATGTTATGTGCTATAAATTTCCCTGTTGGAATTGCTTTAGTGATATCCCACACATTTTGGTGTGTTTATTTTAATTTGTATCCAGTTCCATGCATTTTAAATTTCTTTTAAAACTTTCCATTTGACGTATGGTTCATTTAGAAGTATGTTGTTAATTTCAAGCACTTGGATGTTTTCCTGTTCTTTCTGCTATTGATTCTAATTCTGCTATTCGTTTGTTCCACTGTGGTCAGAGAACATACTGCATGATTTCAATTATTTAACATTTCCCAAGTTTTGCTTTTATGGCCCAGGATATGTTCTATTTTGTTACAAGTTTGATGAGTGCATACAAAGAATCTGTATTCTGCTGTCATTGGATGGAGTCTTCTGTAAAATTCAATAGATCTCATTGGTCAATATTGCTTTCTTTTATATTTTTGATGAATTTTTCTTGTACTATAAATTGTTGAGAGTGGGGTGATGAAATTCTCAGTATAATTGTGGATTTGTCTATTTATTCTTTCAACCTTGTTTTGCTTCATGTATTTTGAAGCTCTGTCATTTGGTGCATACATATTTAGGATCATTATGTCTTCTCATTTATCCTTTTATCATCATGTAATGTCCCACTTTATCCCTAGTAATTTTATTTGCCCTGAAGTCTACATTTTTTTGATATTAATATAGCTACTCTGGCTTTAAATTTTTATTTATTTTATTTTATTTTATTTTATTCTATATTTTGAAACAGTGTCTCTCTCTGTCACCCAGGCTGGAGTGCAGTGGTACGATCATGGCTCACTACAGCCTTGAACCCCTGGCTCAAGCAATCCTCTTGCCTCAGTCTCCCTAGTAACTGGGACTACAGGCATGTGCCACCATACTTGGCTTGCTTTTTTAAATTAATGTTTGCATGATATATCTTTTTCCATCCTTATCCTTTTTGTTTCAAGTTAAGAAAAAAGATAAGGGTGTCTGAAGTGAGTTTCTTGTAGGCAGCATATAGTTGGGTCAGGTTTTTAAAAAATTCATCCTGCCAGTTGCTGACTTTTAATTGCTATATTTAGACTAATTACATTTAAAGTAATCATTGATATGTTAGGACTTAAGACTGTTGTCTATTTGTTTCCTTTATCATTTCTGTTTTCTTGCCTTATATGTTATTTGGACTTTTTTTTACAATTCCATTTTGATTTATTTATAGTGTTTATGAGTATACTGCTTCATATAATTTCTATTAGTTGCTTTAAGTATTACAATATACATACACAACATCACAATCTACTGGTATCAGTATCTGTCTTAGCACTTTGAGTGAAATGTACAAAACTTACTTTCAATTAGTTCAATTTGTTCTTTCTACTTTTAAAATATTGTCATGAGTATTGCTCTGACAATAAAATTGTCTCAAGTATTTGCTCTGCATACATCAACCACATCGGATGGTTTTCTCATTTTTGCTTCAACCATCAAATATGATTTTAAAAACTCATGAGGAAAAGAATAATGTGTCCTATTTATCCCTATTTTTACCTATTTATATGTTCTTCCTTCTTTTCTGAGGTCCCAAGTCTCCTCTTACTCTAATTTCCTTTCTGTTTGGAGAGCTTCCTTTAGCCACATTTTAAGTATAGGTCTACTAGCAACACATCCCTTTATATATTTTCATCTGTAAACATCTTTATTCCTCCCTCATTCCTGAGGGATATTTTTGCTGGATATAAAATTTAGGGTTGACAATCCTTTTAGCACTTGAAAACTGCTGTACCACCTTCTATTGGCCTCCATGGTTTCAGATTAGAAATCTGCTATATTTGAGTAGGTTTTCCACTGTTGGTAATATGCTGCTTCTTCTTGGCAGCTTTTTTTTTTCTTTTTCTTTTTTTGAGACGGAGTCGCGCTGTGTTGCCCAGGCTGGAGTGCAGTGGCATATCTTCGCTCACTGTAAGCTCTGCCTCCCAGGTTCACATCATTCTCCTGCCTCAGCCTCCCGCGTAGCTGGGACTACAGGTGCCTGCCACCATGCCCGGCTAATTTTTTGTATTTTTTTAGTAGAGACGGGGTTTCACCATGTTAGCCAGGATGGTCTCGATCTCCTGACCTCGTGATCGACCCACCTCGGCCTCCCAGAGTGCTGGGATTACAGGCTTGGCAGCTTTTAAACATGTTTTTATTAGTTTGTAGTCTTTAGAAGTTTAGTTACAATGTGTCTTGGCATGAATTTCTTTGGGTTTATCCTGCTTGGGACTTACCAAGATTCTTTAGTCTTTAGGTTTATGTCTTTTGCCAAATTTGGCCAATTTTCAGCTATGATTTCTTTGAATCATTTTCTCAGCCCCACACACTTTCTCCTGTCCTTCTGGGACTCTGATGGCATGAATTTTGATTTTGTTTTTGTTATTGTTACATTGGTCCTTGAAGCTCAGTTCATTTTTTTTTAAATCTATTTTTTTTCTCTGTTGGTCAGACTGTGTAGTTTCTATTGTTCTATCATGAAATTCACTGATCCTCTCTTTGGTATATTTATTCTGCCATTGAGCTCATGCATTGAGTTTTTTTTTTGTTTCAGTTGTATTTTGGGGTTCCACAATTTCTGTTTGATTCTTTTTGTATCTTCTATTTATTTGCTAAGTCTTTCTCCTTTTTCACTTTGTTCAAGAGTATTTGTAATTGTTATTGTCTTTGAGTGGGGGGTGATTCTGGTCCTGCAGGAGGGCACCTCTCAGGCCACTTGGTGTTGGCAGAATGCTCACTGTTTGCTAGTGCCACTCAGAAGGGTGGAGTGCATTTCCTCAAGTCTCCTGGTGCTTCTTAGTTTTTGGGAGGTGGGTGAGAAACCCTGAGTTGCAGGGTGGACAGTGCTTCCCCAGGCCTCACGGTGTGTGTAGGGGGAGGAGGGAGACCCTGGGCTTGTGAGGGGGAGAACATTTATCCAGGTCACCTGGTGTTGATGGGCCCTATTCATCCTTGCTGGCACCCCTGGGGGTGGGCACGGTTTGTGGTGGAAAGTCCTTCCAGCGCTGCCTGGTGGGCCCTGGGCCAGAAAGGTTTTCCTGTGCTGCCTGGTGCCTGTAGCTGTCCTGCTCAGTCCCTGTCTGTGTCACCTGATTCCTGCTGGTGTTGCCCGCTGGTGCTCTCCTGAGCCACTGGTGCCCATGGGTGTGGGGTGGGACGCTGGGCCTGTGGGTGGGGAGTGCTTTCTGGGCCACCCATGCCAGAGGGGCTCCTGGTTGTTCCAGCTGACGTGGCTGCTGAGGTGCTTCCCAGGGCCACTTGCTGGTGCTCAGTAGGAGTCAGTAGACCCCAGGACTGTGGGTGGAGACTCCACCAGACCACCCAGTGCTGCAGAGGCTCCTGGCTGACCTCTGCAGGCACCATGGACAGAGCAGAAAAGTATCCAAGAAAGATTGGGCTGGTTTCTGCCGCTTGGTGGGGTTGAGTAAGCTGGAGGTCTGGGCCTGGGCTGCCTTCTGCCCGCAGGTGGGGGTGGGAGCACTCGGATGCTGCCTTTCCTCAAGTCCTCAGGGCCTCCCCACTATCTGCTCTCCCCCTCCCACCTGTCAGACCCTTCCTTTGATTGTCACCTCATGGGGAGGAGCAGGGAGGGAGGAGTCTGTGCTGTCTCGTCAGAATCAGAAGTTGTTAAATCTTAACAGTGTCGTAGGAGGAAAAGTGGTTTTAAAGTTTGATGAAATCCAAATAATCAACTTTTTAAAAAGCCTTTAACAACTGTCTGTCTCCTGTGTAGGGGTTGTCAAACTTTCTTAAAGGGTCAGATAGTGAATATTTCAAGCTTTGCGGGCCATGTGATCTTGGCTGGAACTGTTTGAGTGCTGTGGTAGCATGAACACTACCATAGACAGTATGCAAATGAATGGGCGTGGCTGCATGAAAGCCACCATGAACAGTATGCAAATGGATGGGCGTAGCTGTGTCCCAGTAAAACTTTATTCAGATAAACACGCCGTGGGCTGGGTGTGGTGGCTCACACCTGTAATCCCAGCACTTTGGGAGGCTGAGGTGGGCAGATCACCTGAGGTCAGGAGTTCAAGACCAGCCTGGCCAACATGGCGAAACCCCGTCTCTGCTAAAAATACCAAAAAAATTAGCCGGGCATGGTGGATCTCAGCTACTCAGGAGGCTGAGGCAGGAGAACTGCTTGCTTGAACCCAGGAGGCAAAGATTGTAGTGAGCTGAGATTGGGCCACTGCACCTGAGCCGGGGCAAGAGTGAGGCTCCATCTCAAAAAAAAAAAAAAAAAAAAAAAGCCGTGGGATGGATCTGGCCCAGGGGCTGTGGTTTGCTGACCCCTGGTCTGTAGGATAAAACTGGGTGTGGCAGTTGACACCCCCATGATTGGGCCCTTGCAGTCTCTGTGGCTCTACCCAATTAGATGCTGACCTGAAGTCCTTCGTGCATTAGGCTGTGGACCACGCACCTGGAACAGGCTGTCTCCCTCTCCCTAGCCGTTCTGTGGACCATGGGCCTGGGACACGCTTTCTCCCTCTCCAGCCTCCTTCTGGAGAGAATGTGACTCACACATTAAGATTAAGCCTAAAGATCAGGCCACTATCAACCTTTTTGACCCCTCTGATGCTGGCACTCCCTCCAAATGTGTACCACAGTATCTGTGTCTGTAATATTTTACTGTCATCGTTTGTTATATTTTTACCATCATAGAGACTGTGGACCTATCGGGAACCACGTCTCTCTCCCGGCATGACACCTAACTTGTGGCAGCACTGACTGAAGAAGTGCTGACCTGTGTTCCATTCAGACTTAGTTAAAAAGAAAATGCTTGTCGGGTGACTGGAGGAGGACGGGTTCTTAAGCGAGTGGAACTTGGCCCGGTGGCGTTGCCTAAAGCTGCCGCCCTTCCTGGGCTTCTGCATCTCATGCTCATCTCCCAGGTTCCTGCCCCTCTCACCTCACCGGCCTAGGAGATAAGCGGCCTCCATCCCTTACAACTATGCACAGCATGGCAATTCCCCACAGAGACCGTCTTTTCCCCTTGATCCTAACTCAAAGCATAGGCAGTTTTCCCTGACTCCGTTTATGTTTTCTGCATAGGGTATTAGGGGCTAGTTATCTCCTCAGTACATTTCTCTATATCTTGAAAAGAAGCTTAATATACACAAAAGCAGCAACTACAATTATTCAGCTTATACATTGTCAGTAACCTGTCTTCCACCATATTATACATTGTCAGTAGCCTCTCTTCCACCATATTATACATTGTCAGTAGCCTCTCTTCCACCATATAACCTCACAGTTAGAACCATTACATTCCCATGGCGCGTCCTAGGCACAGTCTCTCTAGCCTTAGAAAGCTAACGTCATCTTAACCTTGCAGCCACAGCCAGCAGCTGTGAAGACCGGGGCCAGAGGAAGCTGAAGTGTGGTGAGCGGGTTGCTATGGCAGTTATCAGCACTTTCAAATATCACAGGGTGGAAATTGCTTCGCTCAGCAGTGTCCGTTTTAATCTGCACATTAGTCCTTTCTGCAAATCAGCGCATGGTAGGAACCTGATCTGCTGTTAGATTGAGTGGCTCCACGGTCCCTCTTTGTGGAGGGGGAGAGATAAGAGAGAGGGACAGTTCCCAACAACCTCTGCCTCTTCTGCCACCATGGATTCCGCTGACAGGAGAGGCTTTCTTGCCACTCAGGAGCCTGTGCGTCCTGGACAAGCTGGGACGAGAGCTGCTGGGCGGCGCACACCGGGGGCACAGGCCACTGGATCATGGTTGGCTTTGTCCTCAGGCTCCCTTCCCAGGGATGCTTCCCTCCTGATCCATCCTCAGACAGGTGGCCCCCTCCTGACTTCCCTCCATCACACACGTGTACACATGCACACACACGAGCACACACGAGCACACACGTGCACATGCACCACACAAAATGCACATACGCACACATGCACCACACAATACAACCATGTGAGCGTGCACATGTGAGCACACACACCACAGATATACATGCATATGAGCATGCACAGAGGTATCCACACACCACACACATACATGCACACGTGTGAGTGCACACATGTGCCCACAAACGACAGAGGCACCCTTGGCCCTGTTCTCTGCTCCAGCTGCAGAAGCCCCTGCCCCCGCTTTGATGGTGTGGTTGTGATTCACGGAAATAGTCAATCCAGTATCTGCCTCAGCCCAGGGCAGAGGGGCGTGACGGACAGACGCCCAGGCTTGAGCGAGTGTGCGTGCGGACGTCTGGGTGCGTGTGCTGCTGAGCATGGAGGGCCAACGGATCCACATGTGACAAGTGGAGCGCTGAGGTGGGCCTGGGCACTTTGTGGTGAAATTTGCAAAGGTCTATGAGACAAGAGGGAGCCCTGGAGAAGAGGCCCCGGAGCACCAGGTGTCCTAGAGGGAGGGTCAGAGATGGAGGCTGATGGTCACAGGAGAGAGGAAGAGGGCAGAGTGAGGAAGGATGGGAACGAAGAGGAGAAGATGGGGTGGACCAGCCGAGTCTGTGAAGGCCGAGGTGGGCGTGCAGCATCATTTTCTACCTTCACAAAATGTTCTCTATGAGAAGCACCAGTAGAGCAGTGAGGCTGTATCCTGAGAGCAGCATTGGGCTCTCTTAGTTATTCACAAAGGCCTGGACCCGGAGGGACTGAGTCCACGGAGTTCCTCCACGATTCCTCATTTCCTCCCGGGCGCTGGAGCCTGGTGAGCCAGGTGTGGCCACAACCCCTGGGATGAGTCAGTAAATCTGGGGCTTCCCACATCCATCTGTGGCATGGAGGGAGCCATCTCTGGACACTACCAGAATGTGGTCAAGAACCCAAAAGCCTCATGAGCAGGGGTGTGGTGGGGAGAGAAGAATTAATACTGCCTTTATCAGCCACTCCATCATGCATCAGGTAGCACCATTTACACCTCGTCCGGAGAATGCAGCCTTGTGGCTTGTTTGCAAAGAACAGTGCTTGTCCTGTAAGTCAGAGCCTCAAAGAATGAGTTGATTTCAGGTTCTGAAATATCTCTTATGTTTTGGTTCAGGAGTTTTAGTGAAATAAAAGATGGATCTAGTTTGAACTGGTTCAACAGGTAATCACAAGTTGAGCTGATTCATCTAGAAAAAAGATGACTTTCTGGGCTCTTTCATTCTTTAGTTTGGTTCACAGCCTCGTTAGACATTAACAGAGGAACCTAGTGAGGGTTAGTGTGGATAGGAGCGTGTGTAACCTGTGTGGCATGCAGCCTTCTCAGCTAAACATGGACCTCAACGCCCTTCCTACCATAGCAGCCACAAGCCAGAAACATCAGCCACTGTCTCTGGAGAGCGCCTGGCTATTTGGGTCTCATCTGTCTCCAAGATTTGATGGGTGATTCACTCAAGTACCAGTGCTGTTCACGAGAGCCTTCCAGGCGGGGGGTGTTGTGCAGCTTCTACGTGTGTTAAGAGTAGGGCCCAGGACTGCACCCAGCATTGACCTACAGTTATTTTTTGTTTTGTTTTATTTTATTTTTTTGAGACAGGGTCTCACTGTCACCCAGGCTGGAGTGCAGTGGCACAATCTCAGCTCACTGCAACCTCTGCCTCCTGGGTTCAAGCGATTCTCCTGCCTCACCCTCCCGAGTAGCTGGGATTACAGGCGCCTGCCACCAGGCCCAGCTAATTTTT
Source organism: Homo sapiens (assembly GCF_000001405.40). Taxonomy (NCBI): domain Eukaryota; kingdom Metazoa; phylum Chordata; class Mammalia; order Primates; family Hominidae; genus Homo; species Homo sapiens. The sequence goes on from NC_000010.11 coordinate 1,152,215, forward strand.
GTATTTTTAGTAGAGACGGAGTTTCACCGTGTTGGCCAGGCTGGTCTGGAACTCCTGACCTCAGGTGATCTGCCCACCTGGGCCTCCCAAAGTGCTGGGATTACAGGTGTGAGCCACTGCGCCCGGCCTGACCCACAGTTGATGGTGGACCATGGGCTTTGATGCGTCAGTCTGGTGTCACCGTTGGAACTGCAGAAACTTTTATCTGGAGATGTGAACGGAAAAGGGGTTGAGTGTTCTGAGAGCCTTCTGCACGGGAGCAGCTCCAGTCTCAGTCCATATTCCACGGCTGACCACAGAACCTGCCAAGAGCTGTCCTCGGGAGCAGCAGGCGTCCAGCGTATCCTGCCGCCGCCTGACCCAGAAACTCCATGATTTTATGTCCTTTATCAAGCAGACAGAATTCTCCATGGTTGCTGTTGTTTAAAAGCTATGGCTCCTGATTAAAAAGTCATGAGCATGCCGTTAGCAGAGCTGAGCCCTCAGTTTAGGGAGCTGAGGATCGAGCATCTGATGTCCTTGCAGGAGGCAGGGCGTTCCCCAGATCCGAGGGGTTCAGATGCAGGACGGCCCAGCAGAGCAAGAGGATGTGTGCCCCACGGCACACAGGAGGCAGGGGGTTCCCCAGATCCGAGGGGTTCAGACGCTGGACGGCCCAGCAGAGAGGATGTGTGCCCCACGGCACACAGGAGGCAGGGGGTTCCCCAGATCCGAGGGGTTCAGACGCTGGACGGCCCAGCAGAGCCAGACAACATGTGCCCCACGGCACACCGAAGTGAACCACAGAGCAATGACTCTGAGACAGAACTATGAGGAAGAGGCAGAAGCTTTCTAACTCAGTCTCTCCTGGAATCCAACTTAAGAAGAGCCCTGCCCGGCCTGCACTCACCGTCAGCGCACTCCCACGCGTGCACACAGGGGTAGACAGTCACGGCTTCTGCACTGGATAACTGACGCCTTGCAGAGAAGTGACTGAGCTCACAGACCCACTTGGAGACATTAAACGTTGGCTTGGGCAGAGAATGGATCAGGAGCTCCTGACCACCCCAGTTCGATTCTCCAAACCTGAGAGTAGGCATTTGTGCTGACTGGCAGTACCCAGAGGGCCGACATCTGTTGCCTGCAAGGATTGACTAGGAAGCTGGACAGCTTTCAAGTACATCTAACAGTCATGGCAAGTCTAATGCTGGTAAATGGTGCAGAATCAATCATGCAGTCCAGTTTTGATACAGTTCTAAAACCTCATATTCCTGACTAAGGAAGCCAGAGGTAAAGGGACAATGGTCTCTTTCTTCCCCTGAAGTTATTTCTGTTAGCTGGTAAACCAGAGACCACATGAGAAAGAGAAGAAACAGGTTTTCTCGGAGGTCTTTCCGGTGTGCAAGGCCTGCCTAGACAAAATATGGTTCAAACTCCGCCAAAAATGTTCATAGAAGACACATTTGAGATCATTTGTTTTCTTCCTGCCTTTCTGGGAAAAAAAGAATTGCTTTGTTTTGTGAATATATGTACACATCAGGTATAAAAAAACACGTAGGCTTTGGTTTGTATTCAAAGACTTCCAGTGAAACTGCGATAGTCCAAATTGCACCGTGTTGTTTTTCAAGGAAACACTCAGTACAGCCACGCAGCCTGTGCAGGGCGACATCGTAGGGGCCTGGGGTGGGAAAGGGCAACACCACCGCACACCCCCACCCCACTGGTGTCTCTGTCCCTCCCACGGGCCCTGCCCGCCTGACTCAGACAAGGGCCAGCCTCAGTTCTGGCTGGAAAGAAGTCAGCCGTTCCCTCCCCATGTCTCCAGGTGCCTTCTCAGTCCTCCTGCACAACTTCGTTCTGTCTTTTCTCTCTTCTGTGCTGATCTGTTTCCCGTTGTTCTAATCGCTCCCCTTTTCTCTTCCCCAGGGCTCTGGCTCTCCAGGTCCCCCTCCGGCCTCTGTTACTCTCATTTGTCTCCCTTGCCTGCACTCGCTGGATTCTCACAATTCATCCCACACGGAGCACCTGATGGCCTTCCTGCCAGCGTCAGGGAGCAGGGCAGGGGCGTGAAACCCTGGGAAAGTGAATGGAAGCTCCCGGGGGGCTGCCCAACATGCGCCTTTGCAGATCTTCAAAGACGCTCGCCAGTGATGCCAGGACGAAACACTTTGCAAACTTCTCTTCTAAGAACAAACCTTCACCAGACATTATCTTTAGTTAAAAAGCCAGTATTTTAACTTTTTCTACCTATTGATTTTCTATCTATCGATAGCTTCTTATCAGGACAGTGTCCTGAGCAGTACAGGAAAATATGTACTTATACAGGATATTATAGAATTTTCTGAGAAATAGGAAAATCTATTTATTGGCGAAAGCTGCTGTGTGAGTTTCCTGGGGCTGCTGTCACGAACACAGACTCAGAGGCTGAACACAGGTTTGTTATTTCACAGTCTGTGGGTTAGAGTCCGACGCGGTGTCCGCTCAGTGATAGCCGGGCCCCTTCTGGCAGCTCTGGGGAGATGCCATTTCCCTTCCAGCCTCCGGGACCCCCTTGGAGGTCCCTCCCATCCTCACAGCCACAGATGGCCCCACCTACCCCATCCTTCCCTTGTCCAGTCTCCCTCTGCCTCTTCTGCCAGCTTCCATGTAAGGGCCCTTGAGGTTACATGGGGTACACCCAGATGATCCAGGACAGCCTCCCTATTTCAAGGTCAGCTGGGTAGCTACCTCCTTTCCCTGAAGCTTTAATCCCTCACCATGGAGTGTTACGCAGTTGCAGGGCCTGGGATGGGGATGAGGATGTTTTTGAGGGACTATGACTGCCTACCACAGCTGGTATAAATCTTAGATTACACTGAAATAAATTCCTTTTCATGACCAGCATATGAACCAAACTAATCATATAATGTTTGAAAAGATCACTGTAGCTTTAAATTCTTTTATGTACTTATAACATGTTAACATCTGCTAGGCTTTGTAATAACTCTTTCATCTTCAACCATTCTCTAAAAATGTGTTTTCTAGCCTGTATTAGCTCTCTTTTTCTCTCCAAACCAGATAACAGTTGTTTAGCAGGAGAAGCCTTTCTCTGGGTCTCAATTTCCGTCTCTAAAATGAGATTTTTAGACTTCCTACCAATTTGTCATAAACATCAGAGTGATAAAATATGGTCTCTGTTGCAAAAAAATTTGCAATATTTAAGGGGAGATAAGAGATCTCCCCAAATGTTGAGAAATTTTGCAAGATTGCTTATATTTTTATTTGACCTTCTCTTTATAGAAATATCAGTGTTGAAGGGCGTGTAGTTCATATCCAAGAATTTACCTACAAGTGTTAGCCTAGGTCAGGACCTGCCTTTTCTAGGAAGGCCTGAGCTGTCTTTGGAGTGGGTGTCAGTGCAGGCTGGGGAGCCGGAGGAAGTGGGCCTTTCACCTGGCTGTGTTCATACTTTGCTGCAGCAGCTGCGTGGTTATCGGGTTGTTTGGGAGTTTCGCAGTTTCTAGTTCTTCCTGAGGCACTGTGTGGGATTCCATCTCATCCCCACGCAGTGTGACATTTGGGAACCAGACAAGCGGTCTGTTGCGTTAGAAGGTGCCCAGGGGAAGATCCATGGACAACCCTTCACCTGGAGATTTAAAATCTACAATAAAGAAAGCATCTTGAGACCCCTGAGATGCGTACCTGGTTTTATGGCCAGAGCAGCGTCCGCATCTTCATCTCTCTCCATTGGCTCTCCCGCGATGAGTGCCTCCTCATCTCATGGGGGCCCTCCCCTCTGCCCCCAGCCGCATGGCCTCTTTTCGATTCTTCTCTGTAACCTGCTATGGTTTCTGCAGAGGCGCCCCACCTGCCTGCCATGGAGGGCCCTTCCTGCCTCCCCTCTGATCCTGTCAGGACAGGCCTGGAGCTTGTCAGTCACTTATGTCCTTTCCTGTCCTGCGTCCGAGTCATCAGCTTGGGTCTCCAGCTACCCTGGGGATGTGGAGTGTTGGGGACGAGGACAGGGCTGCCTGACCCCAGCCACCCTCAGGCTCCGCCCCATGTCCCAGGGCAGGCTGGGTTCTGTGGCTGTGCACCCTGGGCCCTGTATCCCCAGTGCAGGCTAGGCTCTGTGGCTGTGGCCCCTCGGTCCCGTGTCCCCAGGGCTGGGCTCTGTGGCTCTGCCCCCCCACCCAGGTCCCGTGTCCCCAGGGCTGGGCTCTGTGGCTGTGCCTCCCGGGCCCCCCCCGGCACTGCACGGTGCTGTCATTGGCCTGTCAGGGCCCTGATGCTGTTTGCTTTGAAACATGCCCATCAACAGCCTCTGTTAAAACTTCCCAGGCTTTCGATGCCCCGATTGAAGGAGCCCACAGGCCTGCCTGGGCCTCATTCATTAACCTTGTCCACACTGTTCAGAAGCACAGAGACACTCATCAGCTCAGTGGCGAGGGTTTTGTTTCTGAGCCTGAGAAGCATGTTTGCTGCTGCATCTGATTTCCTTCAATAAACTTGAGATCACGTGATGGTGAGACGGGTCAGGGACTCCAAGCAGGGTCTGGAGAAGAGGTGACTGTCACGCAGCACTGATGGCAATGCTCACGCTGCACACGTGTGTCCTCAGTGGGTCCGTGTGGTTGAGTGTTCTCCTGTGCGAAGGGAGCCACCTTTAGAGGGCCCCATGGCTGTTTGTGTGGACACCTTCTAGAGGAAAAGGCCCCTGGGGTCTGTGATGCGCATCTGAGGAACAGGGCTTCCCTGGGGCAGGGGTCCTAGGAGGTCATCTTCTCGCTCCTCTTTTTCTTTCTCTTCTCACTTTGCTCTCAAGGTCAGGGGCACTGGGGGGTGCAGCCACGTCTTCACAGCCCTGTTGTGGGGGCGGCCTTGGGTGGAAGAGGCCGCGTGGGTGCTGGAGCCGGCCGAGGGTCCCATCCCATCACCGCCCTCGAGTGACCACAGCAATCAGCACACACCCCAAAAGCACCCTGACAGTCACTACCAGCAAAACACACTCGAGAGAGGGTTTTGCATCACGACACGCTCACCACGGAGGCGAACAGCTCCCGAGTGATCCCGTGTGTGTGTGTGCAGCATGTGTGCACCTGAGAGAAACAGACAGGGAGAGAGACAGAGACAGGCAGGGAGAGACAGAGATAGGGAGAGACAGAGACGACAGGAAAGACAGAGAGACAGAGTGAGATAATAAGATACAGAGAGAGAGATGGACAGGGAGAGGCAGGTAGGGAAGGACAGAGAGACAGGGAGATACAGAGAGAGACAGGGACAGAGAGAGGTGGGGAGAGACAGAGAGGCAGGAGACAGACAGGGAGAGACACAGAGAGAGACAGGGACAGTAAGAAATAGAGATAGAGACAGGGAGAGACATCTAACTCTAAATGTGGCAGAGGCTGGTGGGTGTGATCAGGGTCAGGGGGCATGTAGGGGGTGGCGAGCAGAGGTGCTGGGGTCTGTGTGGGAAGTGAACGACTTACCAAGCTCAAAGGCAGGAATGGAAGATCCCCTGTATGGAGAGGCCGCTGTTGACTTGCAGGTTGACAGCTGACTCCTTCTTTTTCACCTGCCACAGCCCCTGTATAGGGACCAATCATAATTTTTTCACTGAAACATGTGCAGGCAATCATGGGGAGAGGAAATGGCCATTTGGGGGTGGGGGGAGACTTGGAGAAAACCAGGCAGAGCTCTTGGGTTTTGAAGCATAGGGGAGCTTCCTAGGCTTTTGAGAGGGGGACCAGTGCGTTGCAGTTATTTCTGAGGAAGAACCATCTTCACCGGCTCATCCAGGATGGAGGGTGGAGGAGGAGCTGTCACGGCCAAGGGACTGAGGAGATGCTCGTGATGCCACCTCAGGATTCTGCAGAACCTGGCCTCGAACTGAACTCTGGAGAGAAAGAATCAATGATGACTGCAAAATTTTGAGAGTGGAGAACCGAGGAAGAAGGAATTGAAAAGTAAAAAAGGGAAAAAAAAGATGATTGAGTTCAGTTTTCCAAATGTCAGATTTCCAATCTATGAGGGACGTGGCTAACGTTTCCTCCAACAGTCATCGAAAGCAGGGTCGCCTTTGGCTGGCGCGGCGTGAGGGCCGCACCAGGGCAACAGAGAGTGGCCCGCTCAATGCCACGTGACCTGCACAGCCACAGGGTTCCATTTCCTTCACGTTTTTTTTCCTTTCTTTCCTTCCTTCCTTATCTCCCTCCCTCCCTCCCTCCCTCCCTTTCTCTCTTTTCCTCCCCTTCCTTTCCTTTTCCTTCCTTCCTCTCCTCCCCTCTCTTCTTTTCTTTCTTGGAGTCTCACTCTATTGCCCAGGCTGGAGTGCAATGACACAATCTCCGCTCATTGCAACCTCCACCTCCTGGGGTCAAGCGATTCTCCTACCTCAGCCTCCTGAGTAGCTGGGATCACAGGTGCATGCCACCATGCCCGGCTAATTTTTGTATTTTTAATAGAGATGGGGTTTCACCATGCTGGCCAGGCTGGTCTGGAGCTCCGGACCTCGTGATCCGCCTGCCTCAGCCTCCTAAAGTGCTGTGATTACAGGTGTGAGCCACCGCGCCCAGCCTCCTTCACTTTTTTTCAAAAGCGAGAGCACCCTCATGTACACTGGGAGCTCACTTGAGCACCTTGGTGCTTCACCAGTGAAGGAGGGCTTGGGAGCCGCTTTGACCGTCATTAAAATAGCATTTCAATGATAATACATCAAAAATGTAGTAATATGAAAACTGAAAAACTCCAGTGATGTTTCAAAGCAATGCAGTTTAAAAAAACCAATTCAATCCATTAACCAAAATAAACTTGGGGGAAACAACGCATTTTCTATGCTGGCAAGCAGATGGCCAAGACTGCGTCTGTCTGGGGTGAAAATGCAGGTTGCATCCTGTAGGAAGCCAGCATAGGGACGGGCTGCTCACCTCCCAGGGCGGCAAGGCAGCCGCTGACTCCAGCAGGCCTTGAAACCTCCCCTGCAGACGTAAGAGCATCGTCTCAGGCAGCGCGGCCGCCAAGGTCTCACTGTATCATTCCAAAGCGGGCGAATTTCGAAACATCCAGCTGCTGGCAGCAATAGCAGAACCCACCATGAGGCTCCAGGCATTCGGATGCCGCCAGCGAGGCCAGCAAGCCCACCTCTCCCTGAGCTGCAGTTCGGCTTTCTTCCTCCACAAGCAGGGACGTGGCTTCAGGAACCCGCTGGAGGAGACAAGGGGCCTCCGTGGTCTCAGCCCTCGCTTTGCGCATGGGCTCTGGCCTCGGCACCTGGGCATCTCCATCCTCCCGAGGGCAGTCGGAGGCTGAATGTCTTCAACAGGAGCACAGGCAGGAGAGAGAGAGCTCAGATGTGCTCGAGGCCGGGGTCCACCCCTGTTCTCCTGTGAGAGGGAGGCTGTGAAAATCCAGGAGACAACATCAAAGCGTTGTTTTCCAACACACTGGCCTGCGCGCCCTACGCTTTATGCAGATGAGGGATGGCGCAAGCACAGGCCTGCGCGCAGGGCTTTAGGCAGATGAGGGATGACGCAGGCACAGGCCTGAGCGTCGCACGCTTTGCGTAGATGAGGGATGGCGCCGGCGCAGGCCTGAGCGTCGCACGCTTTGCGTAGATGAGGGATGACGCAGGCACAGGCCTGAGCGTCGCACGCTTTGCGTAGATGAGGGATGGCGCCGGCGCAGGCCTGCGCGCCACGCGCTTTAGGTGGATGAGGGATGGCGCAGGTGCAGGCCTGCGCGCCTCACGCTTTATGTACATGAGGGATGAGGCAGCACAGGAATTGGCACAACCTGAAGTCAGCTCTGCAGCTTTCCAAGGTATGAATGCCCGGGGAGCCAGCGCAGACCCCAGCACACCCCCTGGGCCCAGTGTCCCTGGAAAAGGACATTTCAGCTGAGCTAGGAAGGCTGAGAACAGTTTCCAAAGATACCTGTGATTCAGGTCTCCATTTGTGTCCCAAATGAAAGCGAGTGAAATGAAATATATATATATATAGTTTTTGAGGTTTTGACAGACCCTAAGTCATAGTAGTTTAAAGTAGACAAAAACTATTTTCCTCCCCAATGTGAAACTGTTTTAATTAGTGAGGATTAGTTTCAATGGTGAATGATAGAAAACCCCAAATAATAGAGGCCAAAACCCTTGCCATTTGGAGTGTCGTCAGCATTTCAGCAGGAGATGATGTAAGTCACAAGCCCGGGCTCTCTGGTCAGAGCTTGCATTTTGACAAGATCTGCAGGTGACTTATAGGCATGCTAAGCTTTGAAATAAAAGGGGGGTTTACTTCTCTCTCATATTTAAGTCTGGAAATGATCTCCCAACACTCAGTATTTGCCCCAGGAAGTCAGCAAGCCAGGATTTTTTTTTTTCATTTTCCAGCTTCGTTCTGCGTGTCCTGTACTCAACAGTCATCTCATGCTGCAGGGTGGCTGCGTGTGCTCCGTACATCACACCCATATTTCAGGTAGGGACGGTTCCCGGAGGGTGCTCAGCACCATGCCGACTACTGCTGGCTGGCACGTTCGCACGTGGCCATGTCAGCTCCAAGGAGGATGCTGACATCCTGCTGGCTGGCACGTTCGCACGTGTCCATGTTAGCTGCGAGGGCCATGCCGACATCCTGCTGGCTGGCACTTCCACAGGTAGCCATGTTAGCTGAGAGGGCGATGCCAACATCTTGCTGGCTGGCACGTTTGCACGCGGCCATGTTAGCTGCGAGGACAATGCTTCTGCAACTTTTGGTTTCTTCCCTTTCATCCTCCCACCCCTGACCGTTTTTGCCTGGGAGCAAGTGCCTAATAAATTACCTGCACTCAAATCTTTGGCTCAGAGACTTTCCGAGAGAACCCAAGCTGAGGCAGACAATGAAATCAACACTACCAGCCACTTAGCTGCCAGCTGGGTGGAGAGTGGGCTGCTCTTCCAAGACGCTTTTCAGCCTCTGAAGGCTCATTTCCAGAAGGTCCTGTCTATCTGGGCTACTTGCTTCCAGAGCAGTTGCATCTGGCTGGATAGCTAATGAGCGATAAGGCCTGCAAACCTCAAGCCACATCTTTAAAGATGAGGGCCCTGATGTTCCACAGTGTGCGACGTTACTGGGGTCCAGCCAGTTATGTTCTGGGAGCTGCCTGAATGAAAATCAATTTGTTATTTTAGTTGGTTGGCTTGTTTAAAAAAAAATTAAATAACAAGAAATAAGAAAAAACGTGCAATGGCTTTGAGGTAGAACAGAAAATCCAGTGAGCCCTCTCTGTGCCTCTGGCAGAAGAAACTGTGAAGATTTGCATTTAGAAAAACGCCTCCTCAACTTTGGCGGCACCTGATGGTTCATGGTTCCTAAAATTAGAAAATGCTAGAGCCTTGGTTCTTTTTTTTTTTTTTTTGACGGAGTCTCACTCTGTCACCAGGCTGGAGTGCAGTGGTGTGATCTTGGCTCACTGCAACCTCCACCTCCTGGATTCAAGTGATTCTCCTGCCTCAGCCTCCCGAGTAGCTGGGACTACAGGCGCCCGCCACCATGCCTGGCTGATTTTTGCATTTTTAGTAGAGATGGGGTTTCACCATGTTGGCCAGGATGGTCTCGATCTCTTGACCTCGTGATCCACCCGCCTTGGCCTCCCAAAGTGCTGGGATTACAGGCGTGAGCCACTGCGGGAGCCTTGCTTCTATGCGAGTATTTCGGAGACAATTAGACAAACATCCCACAGCCCCATTTTGAAGCCTGGCATTGTGTTGGCTGCAGTGAATTCTGGGGGTGGAGGTGGCTGGAGGGAAAGAGTTGGGAGTCTTGTTTTGTTTTGTGTTTCCTGGAGAGTTTTGGGTTCTGCGGGATAATATGTGCTTGCAGGTGCAGCAGGAGTAGCATTCTCATTTCTCACGGCAGTTCAGTCCCTGAGCAGACGGGAGAGGTGAAATAGAAACACACATTACAGAAGGGACATGCTTTCTTAAGGGCACGGGGACCGTGACACATTGCTTTGATGAACGGTGATGGAGTCACACATGGGGAAATTCAACATGGACACACCAGTCTCGCTATGGAGACATCTGTGTTGTATGGGAGCTAATGGCTTTGAATGAGCCCATATTCATTTTTCTAGCAGTTTTGATACTAACATAAAGAGAGAATGTGTGTGGACAGAGGAGGCTGTCCTGCACGGACTCTGGGTGTACTTTGTGCCAGTGACATTTTGTTCCAGAGTGATTTTGCTTGTTCCAGTTTTTCTGAAAGGAAAGCTTCCCCACAGTTTTGGGGACTGCTGTTTGTCTCATGCCACATGTGAGGATTTGTGGGGTCCACAGTCTGCGACTGTGCTGTCCAGCATCGATTCCATTCACACTGGTTCTTACTTTCAAAGTCTATTCTGTTACAGGGAGAAGACTGCACATATAACACAGCTCTGCATGGAAAACCTTCCGCCTGGAGGGGTGGCTTCCTAGAGGTGTGGCGTTGCCCTCTGTCTTGAACAGGCTGTGAGCCGTTTTGTCATTTGGGGTTTCTAGATGCAAACAGCAGAAGCTGCTGGCCAATTACCAAAGGGAACGTGCTGTTAGGATATCAGGGCCTGGGAGCTGCAGCAATGTGGGCTGACAGCAGAGAGCTAAGGCACTTTCCGAGGTGACGAGCTGGGCTGCTATGCTGGAGACGGCTGGGCAGAAGCAGTTAGCAGGGCATTTCCTTGTGTCCTTATCTCAAGAGTCACAGTTTCAGGAGTGAGCATCTCAGAGGTCAGGGTTCATTCACATGCCACCTCCCTTCTCACTGTGTCATTGGGGAGGGGCCGTCTGGACCCTCTGGCTCCTGTGGCAAGAAATGGTCCCATCAAGTCATCCAAGGGCCTGGAAGCCTCCCAAGGAAAGCAGGAGGGCTGGGTGCTGAGCAGCGTCCAGCAGCAAAGGTAGGCTCCAGCCCCGCAGGTGTGGCTGCGCCATCCCAGGGAACGTGCCCCAGCAAGTGCTGGTGCTGCTCTCACTACAGGTGGGGTTGGTTTCACTGGACAGGTGGCACTTCCTCACCTCTTGCCCTCTGGACCCACGGCAGGCACTTTCCAGGGCACATCACGTGGGTGTGCGGTCTGGCTGCTGGGTCCACGCGGGTTCTCAATCATGACCTGGCTTGCAAGCTCTTTCCACAGTTGGATAAATGAAGCCGTTGGGGAAGTATCCGCAAACTCTTACAGTGAGTATGTGATAATGACACACGCGTGGCCCTTCTAAGACCTCCGCTAGGCATTATCAGTGACTGTGCTCGTGAGCGCTGACCTCCGCTAGGCGTTATCAGGGACTGTGCTCGTGAGCGCCGACCTCCGCTAGGCGTTATCAGGGACTGTGCTCGTGAGCGCGGACCTCCGCTAGGCGATATCAGGGACTGTGCTCATGAGGGCGGACTTTCACCAGCCACGCTTCCGAGGAGTGGAGTCTTTCTCAGCTCTGCCTCTCCAAGATGACCATCTTGTGAAGACGATGCGTTCTTTATACACAAGTTCTGTGTGTGTGTGTGTGTGTTCCACACACAGGACCAAAGTTGAGATAGGCGCACATTTTCTTGGTCCCACTTGTGGCCCCAGTCGGCTGTCAGAAGTGGGTGTGCTCCACATGTACCCACCATGTCAGGGCACAGTGCTCACATTTCACACCTCAGCAGGTGCCTTGATGTTGACCAGAGGCCCCAAAATCATCTCTTTCTATGACTTCTAGATCTTAGATTCCCAGGAACTGGGAAATGCAGTCAGTATCTTTTGGGTCCAAGAAACTTTGTCAGAGCCCTTGTGGGAGAACCATAGATTCTCACCAGATAAACAGAAGAGCTTCGTGTTAGAGAAACCCGCCTGTCTCCCCACATTCTCAGTTTTCTGGAGAGCAGCTGAAAGCCATCTGGGTGGAGATTAAGAGCTCCAACCGTGTAGCTTTGATGTATCGGGCAAGTTGCTTAAGCTCTTTAATGCTGTTTCCTCATTTATTGTGTGAGGCCAAAAATACCCATTCCTTAAAGTTGTGAGGATTAAAAACAGTAATGAAAAGTGAGTGGCAAGTGCCGAGTACACAGTCAAGTACCTGATACTTTTTAGTGTAAGGTAAGTAGCAAGAAAGCATGAAATTTATTTTCATTTACTCTTACTACATGTGGTAAACCATCTATGCACAGAGCACTGCATTGGGTGCCATGAATGACAGAATAAGAGTACCAGGTGCATGAAAAGCTTAAAAGACAAATGAGACAGAGCTAGGCTGCAGAAGACTTAAAAAGTTGATGTATTTAACTTTTAATGGACACACTGTACATGTTTATGGGGTACGATTTGTTGTTTCCATGCATATCTGTGTTGTGTAATGATCCAATCAGGGTAGTGTGTGTGCCCATTTCCTCAAGGGTGGATCATTATGTGTATCATCGTGCATCATCATGTATCATGCATGTACCATCATCATGCATCATTGTGCATCATCATGCCTGTATCATTATGTATCACCTCATGCATATATTATAATGTATCACCTCATGCGTGTATTATCATGTATCACCATGCATGTATTGTGCATGTGCCATCATCATGCATCATTGTGCATCATCATGCCTGTATCATTAATCACCTCATGCATATATTATAATGTGTCACCTCATGCGTGTTTTATCATGTATCACCATGCATGTATTGTGCATGTACCATCATCATGCATCATTGTGCATCATCATGTCTGTATCATTAATCACCTCATGCATATATTATAATGTGTCACCTCATGCGTGTATTATCATGTATCACCATGCATGTATTGTGCATGTACCATCATCATGCATCATTAGGCATCATTGTGCATGTATCATCACCTCATGCATGTATTATGTATCACCTCATGCATGTATCATGCATGTACCATCATCATGTATCATTATGCATCATTGTGCATGTATCACTGTGTATCATGCATGTGTCATCATGCATCGCCCCATGCGTGTATCATTTCTTTGTGGTGAGAACACTCAGAAGCCTCTCATCTCGCTATCTTGTCATATATGCTATTTTATTGTTAACCAAAGTCAGCCTATTGTGCAGTAGAACAATCTCTCCTCATCCCCTGTCCTCATCCTCCCCTCCCAAGCTTCCATAACCACTGTTTACTCTCTGCTCCTAGGAGATCAACTTAAAATTTTGTGTTATTTTTGGATTTCACATACAAGAAATCCATACAAGAGCTCCATATGAGATCGCTCAGTACCTGTTTCTCTGTACCTGGCTTATTTCGCTTAACATGATGTCCAAGCTCATCCATATTGTCACAGATGCTGGGATATCATTTTTTTCATGGGAGAATGGTATTCCATTGTGTATCTACACCACATTTTCTTTATTCATTCTCCGTTGTTGGGCACCAAGGGCGATTCCATACCTTGGTGATTATGAACAGTGCTGCGATAAGTGTGGGGGTGCCGATGTCTCCTCAACCCATGGATTTCCTGTCACCTGGGTCTTTACCCAGCAATGGGTTGCTGAGTCCCATGGTAGTTCTATTTGTGTTTTTTTGAGGAACCTCTCTGCTGTTTTCCTGAGTGGCTGTAGAGAGCTATAGAACTTTAGGTCTGTGAGAGATAAGTCCTCCAGTACACATGCCATTTTCAGAAGGGCAAACTGTAGCCCAGGAAGGTCAGGTGCCTTGACCAAGGCAGGCACAGTGAGAAAGAGGCAGTGTTAGGACCGCAACTGATTTTCCTCTCCAGTCTCTTTTGTGAAGATTGGATGCTAAGGTCATATAGGAAGCACTATGGAATATGTAGGAGGTGCTCAGTCTGTTTTGTGAAGATTGTATGCCAAGGTCATATGGGAAGCACTATGCATTATGTAGTAGGTGCTGTGTGCCATACATTAAGATTACATTGTAAATAGCAGGCACTATGTATTGTATATTAGCATGATGCACTGGGTCCTGTTGTCTGGGAGCCTGGCACCTGGCAGCTTCAAAGAACTTACAAGGTCCACAGGAAGGAACCTGGGACAGCCCAGGGAGCATCACTGAAAGAATTGGCCTGGAACAGAAGCCCCACAGCTCACCTGGGGGGAGCAGGGGGAGGATAGGGGTGAGGAGGGAGAGGACCAGGGGAGCAGCGGGAGGACCAGGGGTGCAGGACGAGCACTGGGGGTGCACGGGAGAGCAGGGTGCAAGGACCTTGCTGGCTGAGAAGACAGCGGGAATGGCGGGTCCTGGGAGAGGGGAGGAGGGGAGGCAGGCCACCAGCCACCCTGACTTCAGCCAGGAGACCCATTTCAGAGGCTCAAAGGGTGGAGATGGTGCAGCCATAGTGGGAAGCTGAGCCCCATGCTGGATGCTCAGATTGAGGGGGCTCCTGAGGGGCTGCGTTCCTCTCTCCAGGGGCCGTGGGACGGTGGCTGCTCATCTCACAGGTATTTATTGGGTTTTTCACCACCTGCCAGGACTTTGCTGCCCACGTCACACATTTCATGTAACCTGTAGGTGTAGAGGCCTCATTTTCAGACAAAGATGAACTAAGAAAGTGTCTTCTCGGAGGTCACGGCTGGAGCCAGATGGTCAGGCTCAGGCTGGGGCTGGCTTCCCTCGATGTGATGCACGGCTCCCATGTCACGTTTCCCTGACTATCAGGAGCTCCCAGAGGCCAAGGATGGGGTGGCCGCCTGGACAATTCAGACCTAAGGAAGGGCTCCTGGCCTCTTCCCTGAGAGCCTCTAAGCTGACTGCTCTCTTCCTGCTCAGCAGCTCATGATCCCCGGTGGCTTCCTTGAGCTGGGACTTGACTGAAACCCCTGGGACTGGCCCTCCAGCCACCCTGACTTCAGGGGGTCGAGGTGCTCACTGGGCCAGTGCTCAGGAGGCTCCGTGCCAGCTGGAACACCGGGAAACCCTCTATCTGAATCTTTGACCCAGGGAGGAGCCTGGAGAGGTGACGTCCCGGCAGGCCTCTCCCGCAAAACCCAGAATCAGAAGTGGCCACACCAGGTCCGGCACCCACGGCAGCAGCAGGAGCCATTTCTGGGACAACTTTGGGGATATACTTGTCCTTCCAAGTGAAAGGAGCTTAAAAAGACCCCTGAGCAGGAGAGAAAAAGTATCTTCAAAGAGAACTCCCTTCATCTTGAAGAAAGTGTCTGCGCTAGCCTCTTGGCCATTGCGCCGCAGTAGAATCTTAGGCTCCGTCACTCCTGTGACTTAATTCAATTGGCATCGGTATTTTGAAAATAATGATTTTTCCTAATTGTAAATGTGAAATGTATTATAGAAACGTCGTCCACAAGCCTCTCACTCAGAGAGAGACACCGATAACTGTTTCTTTCCATGGAGTACATTCCACCGTCCCGTTTTCCCACCACACCGCGTGGCCTGACGCTTTCCTCTGTCATGAACGGCTCTGATACAACGTGAGATGAAATTCCATCTCAGACATGCACTGTGATCACTCACCCCTCACTCCTCAATGCCTGTGTGTCATTGAGCACCTCACCTGTGCTATATATTTCTCTTTAGGGTCACAAAAGAATTGCTCTGTAATCTCTGTGGGCAAGGAGATTTCTCCCGAGTTTGATTGGTTTTTCTGTTTTCTTAGGATAGAAATTTTTCTAGCAGTCATTGGTCTATTGAAAACACAAATAAGCTTCACTTCATACACTAGAAAACTTCATAATATAAGGTTTATATTTGCCATGAGAGGAAACAAAATGTTGTCTTAAATGCATTCACGTACCCTAAGAAAAATGGTATGAAACGGTCAAGGAAAAGTTCCTTCTGATAGTAAAAAATTCACCCCCTTATTAAACCAACAATGAAGTTGCACTAGATTAGAGTTTAGTTCCGAAACTCTGTGCTTTTAGATATTTGGTCCGTTAGGATTTCCTGGTGGGGGGCACACGCGCGTAAGTCTCTTGATGGTGGGGCTCTGGTTCTCTGGCCGAGACCACAGATGTGTCTCCAGGCAGGTACTTCCTCTGCAAGTGTCTGATGACCACAGTGAGGTGGGTGTGTTGATAATAATCTACTGTCATAGACACCTTACCTTATTAATACTGCTAAACCAGGAAGGGCACAATTGATATTCTCAGGTTTTTTAATCCTTTAAGAAGAAAAGATAATTAAAAAAATCTTTTCACTCAAGAAGCATACGATAGAATATGGTGATACAGACAAAGGGTAGGCCCACTGATTCGAAAATTACAGATTGAATCCCTGAGACAAATATCTCCCCTGCTTTCAGGTAGATTACTGTCTACAGGTGGGATAACCATGTATAAAATTATGTCAAATTGTGTTGTGGTATGTTTTGATTCCTTTGAAATAAGGGCTTCTCCTTTATCCACACCACTATCAATGAAGAGTTATTGACACTCTATTAGCCAATCATAACAACCATTATTTATTAGTGACTATTACATATCAGATATTTTACACACTTTATTTCTAGTCTTCCAAAAACCCTGCATGAGAGCTGCTGTATTTTTTTTTTTTTGAGAAGGAGTTTCTCTCTTATTGCCCAGGCTGCAGTAAAATGGCGCAATCTGAGCTCACTGCAACCTCTACCTCCTGGGTTCAAGCGATTCTCCTGCCTCAGTCTCCCAAGTAGCTGGGATTACAGGTGCCACCACACCTGGCTAATTTTGTATTTTTAGTGGAGACGGGGTTGCACCGTGTTGGCCAGGCTGTTCTCGAACTTCCGACCTCAGGTGATCCACCCGCCTCGGTCTCCCAAAGTTCTGGGATTACAGGTGTGAGCCACTGCACCCGGCCTGAGCTGCTGCTGTTCTTACCTGATAGACAGGAAAGCACATTGGAGGTATTAGTTGGCCAGGTGGTGGGGCTAGGCTGCACATCCAGGCCGACTTTTCTCCACACGGCTGTAAGAATCCCACCGCCAGCAGCACCTCCCAGAGGATCGCACTGTCCAGGCGCTAATGAGTGCTTTTAGGTACAACTTGCTGTGTTCTGTCTCCGTATGGCCAAATTAAGCATTCAGTTTTAATTAAACTAATAAGAGGTGTCATTGGATATGATTAGAAAGGTGTGGCATGTTCTGACACCCAGTAGTTTTAAGTATCTTCATCTGCTGCGTGGCTTACGTGCACCATAATGCCAGGACCCAGTGAGTTAGGTTCCCGCCGGGCACAGGGCTGGCTCACAGGGTCCCAGCGGGGGTGGAGGTGTGCACGGGTGGCCTTGGCATGTCCTCAGCCTCCCCTGTGGGCTGTGGGCTGCAGGCTGGGCTGTGCCTGTATCCGGGCAGCTTACCGAGGGCTCCCTGGTATGACTTCCTTTGAAGCCCATAGCGCCTCGTGGGGCCGCTAGAAGTTTGTGTTGCAGGAGGAACCGATGCACCTTCCTTTCCTTTTGGCTTTGTAGTGCTTTCCTCGTTCATTCATGAGCCCCAAGAATAGAATTTGAAGGCTTACTTTTTACGAGGCAAATCACATCTCCCGGCTCGGAAGGGCCAGGGCAGCAGGGGAAAGAAAGTTGTGCAGATTCGAGTCTTGAGTGACCCATGGTGGGGTGCGGGGGGAGGCGTTCCCTGGATGCAGCTGAGCAGCCCTCGGTACCTGGCCACGCCCTACAGTGGCCACCCCACACCCCCCCAGTGCCTTCACCACCACAGCCCCATGCCCCTCTCCCGCCTTCACCACCACAGCCCCGTGCCCCTCTCCCACCTTCACCACCACAGCCCCATGCCCTGATGTACTCCCAGCACAACCTTGGGAGGCTGAGTAAGCACCTGAGTGGGAAGAGGGGGCTTCCGAGACCATGTATGTCCCACAGCTCCAGGGACGTGTCCGGCATTTCCATGGGGGTGTCGTGTTTTCTTGTGTTGTCTAAGCCACTGCTGTTTCATCGTCTGCTAAAGCAGCTGAAATGGTTCCCCAAACGGAGAGAACACTTGGCTAAATGTGCTTTGCTGAGGAATTCCTGCCCCTCTTACACCCCCACTCTCCGATGACACCTGGAATTGAGCTGGGGCCCCAGAGCCGCCCCTTGGCTGGTCAGGGTGGGTTGTTCACTGCCCGTAAGCAGCAGCCATGCCCCTGTCCTTGGCCTCTGAGCTGTGTGAGGACGGCTCACACCAGCAATGCCGAGATTGGCTCAGGGTGTCCAAGTGCACATTCTATTTTGGGGAATTCTATCCACCGAAATTTATTGGCTTGTATGAGAAGCCATGATCTTCGCTGTCTTTTATTTAATGATACATAATGTCCACGTGAACCAGGCAGCTTCCGGCAGCTCCAGAAGAGAGCAGCAGAGTTCGAATCTTCTGTTTCATCCTGAGCCAGCAGCAAGGGACTCCCAGGAGGAGTCGAGTTTGATGCCTGCACTCCTCCCTCGGCGGCCAAGCTCGCCCCTTCCCCAAAAGTGCAGGGCCCTGAGGTCTCTTGCCTCACGACACGTCCAGGTGGCAGGCACCATTGGGGCTGCCATTATCCACAGATGAACTAGCAAACTTGAGGGAGTCTAATGCTTTTCTGAAATGACAGCCAGAAAGTGGCAGAGCTCTCTCATTCCAAAGCCCTCTCCCCTCCACACAGAGCTGGCTGCATGCGGGGCTGGGAGTTCCAGGAGACAGGGAGGAGGCACCAACGTCTTCACTTGCAAAAAACTCATGCTCAGCATAAAAGTCTTAACGTGGGAAGCCACCAGGCATGGCGAGGTGGTGTGTCCCCTTGTGCACATCTGTGTGCTGTAGGGGACACCATTCGGGGGCATCGCCAAGAAAAACGAGCAGGGCCAGGGCCGATGGAGGCCAGGGTTAGGAGGGCCCTGGAGGGATGGGCAAGCACACGCGAGTGGTGATCAAGGAGTGGTGATCAAGCCGCCCTCAGGAAGCCATGACAAGGGTTCAGGGAAGTTGATGAAAGGCCCAGATCTGGGCATCACCCGCGCACGGAGGGCTGAGTGGGCAGGAGAGGCCTGAAGACCAAAGAGCACTCAGAGCCTGGAGAGCAACCGCCCAGGGGATGTCCAGGAGGCTGGCACGGAAGGGGCTGGTACCCACGCCTGATCACACAGCTCCTGCCCCTGCTCCCTTCTGAGCCTCTTGTGTGCTAAATCTAGCACACACACACATATGCACACAGACGTACACATGCATGCATGTGCAACACGGCACACACATGCACACACATGCACACAGCACACACATACACATGCATACACACAATACCTGTGCACACAACACACACATGCACAGAACACATGCACAGCACATGTCCATGAGTGCAAAGCACACACATGCACACACATGTCCAATGCACACACATCATATGCTCACACACATGCATACACATGCACACAATGCAACACGTGTACACATGTGCAAAGCACACACATGCACACTCGTGAGTACACACTCCCCACAGAGTTCTGACTGGAAATGCTCAGGCAGGAGCAGCATTGGAAGGAGGCCCCTGGCGGGCACAGAGACAGGACATAACCCACACTAGCCCAGGACACCATCAGCTCCTCTATCCCAGGCTGTTGCCCTCGGAAGAGCAGTGGCCCCTACCCCGTGGGATCCCTCATGCCCTCCTGCTCCCCTCTGTCTGAGACCCACCAGCCCACCGTTGCATCTCTGGGGTCTCTTCCCTTTCCTCTCATGCGGAGCCATGCGCTGTCCCCCGGCCCAGACATCCGTGTCCACACTGCTGACTGCCCCACCAGTGGCGAGAGCCTGCCTGGGATCTTCCCTTTACAAGAAAGAAGAAAAGGGATAAATACTTATTTTTCCTTCTCAGGGACAGTAATAGTGGTCATTTTCCTTTCCTTTTCTTCTTAAACATCTCATTATGGAAATGTTCAAACACCTGCAAAGTAGGACAGAATGAGCCCCAGTGCCGTCATCTCTGGGCCGTGTCCTTTGATCTGGTCCCCACCCAGCCTCCCACATCCCACGCTGATTCCTTTGAGGCAAACATCGATGACATCTGGGCATTGGATTCTGAAACGTGAGTGTGAAGGAGATGGGGCCTGTGGCTACTAAGTCTGCTCAGAAATCGTAGACTTCGGGGAATTGATCACTATTTTGAAATGTCAGAACATGCTGACAGGGAAGAACGTAGTCGAAGTTTTGCTGTGACGAGGGTGCGTCTTCAGGAAGAGGCTTCTGCAGCATCATCCTCAGCTTCTCATAAGGCGACATTGGTCACGCTATTCTTGGTTATTCCATAAAATCTTGGCATCTTGTGATGTGTTGGTTGTTTTTTTATATGTATGACTAAGCCTAGCATGCCAGGCCCCCGGGACGCTGATTTACAGGCTGTGTCCTCTCAGTGACAGTGCGCAGCTCCCGTTTTCTCCATTCTGCAGTAAGAGCTGTTAACCACACAGAACTCACTGCACACAGCGGCAGAGGGAGCAGCTCCCCTCCAGCCTCTTGGGCTCTCCTCGCCTGTTTTCTGCACCAGAGAGTGAGCTACGGGGCAGCCTGGCCTTGTCCTTTCGTTCCCTCAGCCACTAGCACAGTGCCTCGTAGGTAGTAGGTGCTTAATAGATGTTCAACTAAACTCCTTTCAAGCTACATAAAGTACCTGTATTTGGCTTCATGAAATTGCATGAGAGATTTGGCTTGTGTTGGTTGAGTGAGAAAAAGCAGCTCCCGGGGCCTCTGGTGATCAGCTTCAGCCTTGTGCATATCTGCTCCTCCCTCTCCGGCCTCCCCCCACACCTGTGAGACCCTAGGTCATGCTTGGCCAGGCCTGGCAAGGAATTTCTGAATCTACTTTACATTCTTTTGAAAAATGATCTGGTGTGGAGTTAGCTGCCAAGGGAGGCCAGGAGGTTTGTGTGAGGTGCTGGAGGGATCGGGAGGGCTGGGCAGCCCTAGGGTGACGTGGGGCCCTGAGTCCCAGGCCCTGAGCCTGTGGGCACGAGTGGCAGGTCGACTGGGAGCAGTTGCATTGCACCGGGTGCTGTGACTCTTAGATGCCCATGTGCCCTCGAGCCCTGTTTAATTCCTCCTCCATCAGAGGGCACGGGGCAGGACGCAGAAGCTTCGACATGGACTGGCTGTGTGCAGGGGCCTGGAGAACAGAACGTGTCGCTGGAGCAGTGTGTGCAGGACCCGCCGGGGCGCAGCACCCCTGTAGAACCGCACGGGAGCCGCTCGCAGGTGGAACACGTGCTTGCTGCGGTGCTAACTTTGTGTCCAGGCACAGAATCGAGCCCGTTCCCAACCCGTGAGTGGGTCCCTGCTGTGTTCATCTGAATAAGATGAAATGAAGCACTGGTGGAGGTAGCATCCCGGGTCTCAGCAGTCATAGGTGCGCGTGAACACAGGGCATGCGCTCCACCCGCCGTCCTCAGCGGCGCACACGCACAGGTGGTGTTCAGAGTGTGACGACAGCTGGGGTTTGTTTGTTCGTTTGTTTTATGGAGACGCAAGGTCTCAAGGTCTCACTCCATTGCCCAGGCTGGAGTGCAGTAGCATGATCACAGCTCACTGCAGCTTCAGCCTCCCAGGCCCAAGCAATCCTCCCAGGCCCAAGTGATCCTCCCACCTCAACCTCCTGAGTAGCTGAGACCACAGGCTGCTACCACCACACCTGGCTAATTTTTGTAGTTTTCTTTTGTAGAGATGCAGTCTTGCTGTGTTGCTCAGGCTGGCCTCAAACTCCTGGCCTCAAGTGATCCTCCCACCTTGGCCACCCAAAGTGTTGGGATTGCAGGTGTGAGCCACCACCCCAGGCCCTGATATTTTTGATATTGACTAAATACTGAAAGGATAAAAAGCTCCTACCGAGCTGACCATGAGGTTGTCTCTTTCACTGTCCAGAGAGGAGTGCTGGGGGCCCGCAATGCTTAGGGGCTGTGGATGAGAATGTGGACAATCACTTTTCCCTGTGCTTGGCTTCTCAAGCAACCATCTCGTACCTCAGGGATAGAGCTGTGGGCTCATGGTCTATGGAGAAGCCATGTCTTCAGGACAGAGATGGGTGTATGTGGTCTATGGAGAGACCACATCCTCAGGACAGAGCTGTGTGCTCCTGGTCTACAAAGGGGCCACGCCCTCAAGACAGAGCTGTGTGCTCATGGTCTATGGAGGGGCCACGTCCTCAGGACAGAGATGGGTGAATGTGGTCTATGGAGGGGCCACGTCCTCAGGACAGAGATGGGTGAATGTGGTCTAGGGAGGGGCCATGTCCTCAGGACAGAGCTGTGTGCTCGTGGTCCTCTCCCTACCACTCTACTCCAGCCCCCTGACTCCACACAGCTTCCCCTTCCCATCACTCCATACCAAGCCCACTCCTTGACCGAGCCAAATGTTCCATCCATGAAGATTCATGAGGTTATTTCCTTCGGTGTGTGAGGCACATTCTCCTGTGGTCCTGAGCTCTGAGCAGTGGGAACATGCAGAGGTTCTCAGCCACCTCAGTTTTGGGTTTTGTCAAGCAATGTGTAATCCTCACAGGCCAGCAGATGGAGGCCAACTGCTCTGGGGTCCTCTGTATTTGTGCTCATGATTTTCCTCGGTCTCCTCCCGGCTTCATCTCTGTTGATGAAAGGCTTTCTTTTGGGAAAGCTGGCCCTTTAAGGGCAGTGGCTTTCTGAAACCCTCCAGGGAGAGTGCATTTCCGTCATCAAGTTTAACCCAACTAACGGAACTGGATTTAATAGATTCAAAGCAGGCTGGGTGTGGTGGCCCACACCTCTAATCCCAGCACTTTGGGAGGCTGAGGCAGGTGGATCACGAGGTCAGCAGATTGAGACCATCCTGGCTAACACGGTGAAACCCTGTCTCTACTAAAAATACAAAAGATTAGCTGGGTGTGGTGGTGGTGCCTGTAATCTCAGCTACTCGGGAGGCTGAGGCAGGAGAATGGCGTGAACCTGGGAGGCGGAGCTTGCAGTGAGCCAAGATCTCACCACTGCACTCCAGCCTGGGCCACAGAGCGAGACTCTGTCTCAAAAAAAAAAAAAAAAAAAGATTCAAAGCAGACGAAGGCGTGTCAATCACAGAGCGGTGTGTCAATCACAGAGCATAAGGACCACTGCTGTGGCCACTTTGTCCTTCAACCCCACACACACCTATCAGATTTTGAGAATCAGAGTGGATGGTGGTTACTTCCTTTGGGAACATGCACTTAGCTGAAACCTCTCACTAAGATGATTTATCATCAACTTCAGGTTTCATGCTTTAAAAAAATTCTCAACAAGAAAGAAAAATGACATAGGAGACGAGGCTGTCTGGGGTGAGGGCAGGCGTGAAGAAAGACTGGGCAGATGTGTGAAGCCGTTATGTTTGGAGGGGTTACCAAGAGGCAGACCCCCCCACTGGCAAGAACGAGGGCCTTTTTGGGTAGGAGGGGCTCCTCTGTGAGTGACAGCAAAGACCAACCCCAGGAGCCACTTCTGGGCCACTAAGAGATGAGGCTGGAGACCTTTCTGTCCCTGAGCCATTAAACCATCCCTCCCAACACTCTGATTCTCCATGCTCAGTGACTCTGGCCAGGGACCACTGAGCCACCTTGCAACTCTGACGCCTTTGAGGTTCATCTTGAACCCTCTTTACACCTGCAGGTCTTCTTCATTCTCTGCCCATAACCCTGACCCCTTGTTTTGCTGTCTATGGGGTAATTTATCATAAGGCCCAAGAAATGAGATGCTCTTTAGGGCGCTGACAGCCCACCCGGAGGAATGGCCCCCACCTGTGGATGAGGGGGAGGCATCAGAATCTTCTGGGGTGTTTTCAGAGCCCCCCCACCTCCACCTCTGCCCCCATCTGAGACCCCCTGCACCCTCCCTTGAGTGGAGAATCACTGTGGTTAATGTGAAACACACAGACAAAAAAAAAAAAATGCAGG
Source organism: Homo sapiens (assembly GCF_000001405.40). Taxonomy (NCBI): domain Eukaryota; kingdom Metazoa; phylum Chordata; class Mammalia; order Primates; family Hominidae; genus Homo; species Homo sapiens. The sequence goes on from NC_000010.11 coordinate 1,175,975, forward strand.
CACCCACGGCCTGGCCTGAAGGGAGGTAGGGTGGGACTGGAGACGCGGGGTGGACGAGAGCAACACCTCCAAACGCAGGCACCCGCAGCCTGGCCTGAAGGGAGGTAGGGTGGGACTGGAGACGCGGGGTGGGTGAGAGCAACACCTCCAAATGCAGGCACCCGCAGCCTGGCCTGAAGGGAGGTAGGGTGGGACTGGAGACGCGAGGTGGACAAGAGCAACAACTCCAAACAAGACGTCTTATCCCGGCCCCTCCGGCTGCAGCATTGGAGCCCCGTACTCAGCATGGCTGTAATTTTAGTCTATTTCCTGGGTGACAGTGAGAAATCAAAGTCCCTTCAGCCAGCACAGGGATGTCCCTTTCTGGGCCTGCCATGCCCACAGTTAGGTCCCTGGAAAGCAGCAAGATGTGTCACGGGGAAAACACTCTACTGGATTCTGGGGTGCTCAGTCCACGCAGACTGACATGGAGCTGTGGCGCAAGCCCCCGAGACGTTTAGGAATCCCTTACACCCCAGTTCCCACCTGGCTTAGTATTCTACATAAAATTACCAGCCACACCCGTGCTCCGTGTGTTATGGCAAAGCTACGGCAAATCTGGGAGAGGACTCAGAACATCGAACATCTCAGATTTCATAACCCTTCAACCCCTCAAGCCTCCCTCAGCAGCCCTGGGAAGTAGGAGGCTAAGGCTGTGTTCACACACTGGTGAGAAAACTGAGGCGCAAAGTCACGCACGCAGTGATTAATTCATTTTATGCAGTTAATGGGAAGCGGGCTCAAGGCTCGGAGGGAGCTCTTTACACGTCCGGCCCTGTGCTATTATAATGAGTTCATTTACAGTAAATCTGTAAGGCTAATGTCGGGCTAGTAACTGCTGCTCAGGCAGAGGCCACTAGTCGATGTGACCATTAGAAAAAGGAAAAGGGTTTGTTTGTTTGTTTTGAGACAGAGTCTCACTCTGTCACCAGGCTGGAGTGCAGTGGCCTGATCTCAGCTCACTGAAACCTCCGCCTCCCAGTTTCAAGCGATTCCCCTGCCTCAGCTTCCCGAGTAGCTGGGATTACAGGCATGCGCCACCATGCCTGGCTAATTTTTTGTATTTTAGTATAGATGGGGTTTCACCGTGTTGGCCAGGCTGGTCTCGATCTCCTGACCTCGTGATCCGCCGGCCTCTGCCTCCCAAAGTGCTGGGATTCCAGGCGTGAGCCACCGCGCCTGGCCAGGAAAAGGTTTTAGAGCTGATTGTGTCCCTTCTTTGGGGTGGGTGGACACATTGTACAGTCTTGAGACCCCCAGAACTTTGCTTGATGAAAAAGGCCCAACAACCCAGGAAAGAACAATTTTACTGAATATTTTTATTTACTTAACAGAAACATTCACTTATTAGATATCACTGAAGTGCAATTTATAGAACTTAGAGGCAAATTAACATGTAAATTCATATTTTAAGGTTTTGGATTTTTTTTTACAAATATTACAAATGTACATCCATTGATACAATATTGCCATTCTATCATGCTTTTTATGTACATACCTTCAATTAGAATTACTATGTGTTAAGTTCATTTTGCTTACAAAATGCTGAAAACTAACGGGGCACACTGGGAGAGATTTTTTTTTTTTTACCGATGCATAAACTGCAGAGAGATAGAAATCTAGGGCCTGTGTGAAAAGAGGCACTGGGACCAGGTGATCTCGCCTTGGTGTTTAGGGAATGCTCATCCCTCCAACCTTGGCTTAGGATGATGAGTTGGGAAATAAAGTGTTCCTCTCACCAGGGTTTGATCTGTCTGCGGTTCCCGCAGGAGTGATATTGTTTGGTGTGAATCTCTAGAGGCCAGCGCGGTGGCTCATGCCTGTAATCCCAGCACTCTGGGAGGCCGAGGTGGGCAGATCACTTGAGGCCAGGAGTTCGAGACTAGCCTGGGCAACATGGTGAGACCCCATCTCTACCAAAAATACAAAAATTAGCCAATCTCATAAGCCGGTCTCAAAAAAGTAAATAGATCTCTAGAGATGTGGCCACCAGCGTTCCTTCTGGTGGGAGGTCAGAACATGTGGACACATTCAGGAGAGTCCAAAAATGACTGCAGCAACTCCCTGTGCACAAGGCATCAGGAACCCAGCGGGGCTCCCCCAGCCCCAGCATGAACCTGTTGTGTGGATCCCTCGTGGGGGGATGGTGCCTGAGACCTCCTCCTGGGTGGGGGCCACGGCAGCAGAACAAAGGAGCCAGGAGTTTTGGGACAGGGACTAACAAGACAGCAAGAAAGGGAAGAGGCGAGGAGGAGAGAAAGGGTTGAGAAGGGAAGCGAAGAGGCTGAGGGGAGAGTGAGCGGAGGGTGGTGCTGGCCGCCTCTCAGGCTTCCCAGAAACAGCCTGAGAAGGAAGCTCCTCTGTCTCCACCGCATCTCTGGTTGGTCCCTGTGGCCTCTGCTCCTGCCTCCTCACTTCCCCACCATCCTTCCTTCACTTTCTCGGATTCAGAATTTGTGGGAGAAGTTTGACGGGTCACCAGCAGCCCAGTGTTTCCAGAAACAGCCCTGCTCCTGCAGTGGCGAGGAACCCAGACAGCGGCAAGGCCTACACCGTGTCCTCCAGCCACCCGCCTAGCCCCACACAGTGGCAAAATACCAAAAGACCCTAAAATACCAGCGAGGCGGGGGGTGGTCTGTCCCTGCTAAGAGCTGCCTGGGGGTGCTACTGCCTCTCCTGCAACACAGGGCTTCTAAATTTCCACCTCCAACCGCGAGCTCTGCAAAAACTGCAGGCGAGGACAGGCTTTGGAGGTATGTGGGATGGCGGCTCCCTGACATGGACTAGGGGACTCTGCAGCCTCCCTGAGGGCCGCGGGAAGCCCACAGAGCCTCACCGGGTTCTGTTGGGTGTTATGAGAGGCGGCTGCAGCGATCCAACGGTAGTACATAAAAGGAAAGCCTCTCAGCTTCCCTTTGGTCTCTGTTAGAAAGTGATACTTATTGTATTTTGGGCCAATTAGTCAGATTATTTTATTAGAATGGCTTCTTAAAAAAGGGCATATAAGTTTCCCTAAATTAAAAATGTCTACTTTATGTACGTCTCAAATGTCTTCAGTTGTTTTAAACAATACACTATAGACACATCTTGAAATTTATTATCTAAAAATAGGATTTCATCAAAATAACTATTCTGGGCATTGATATCCTCTGTATTTACTGTTTATGGCTCTCCAGACGTGATAAACATTATATCCAAAAAAAAAAGCATGCGACTTTGTTGATAAGAAAAGCTCCCTGTGAAAACAAAATGAGATGGAGAAATATGATCTGTGTGTTTCTTTGAAAAGGAACCCAGCTTGATGTTTCTGAGGAACAGGACTCATCACAAAGTCAGCATGGTGTGATAGATATATACAGATGTAAAGAGAATCACAGGAATGGAAAGGAAACAATAGCTATCGACCTGCACATCCTTTCCTCAGCAAAAACAAAACCCACAGAAACCCTAACTCTATCCCTTGATATCACACACGGCTGCAAAACCGGGGCTGGAGGTGGACAGCGGAGGCTGCCTGGCCGCGCAGCCGTTCCCTGCGCCCCGTCCTGCAAAAAGGCCAGAAACCACCAGACACTAACTTTTTGACTAAGAACCAGGCCGGAAACCACATTGCTGATCTTCCTGATGGGAAAGCAGTGTGTGTTTTGGAGGCAGATAAAGGTGGTGCTGGTTTTATGAGGACTTTTGTAGGGGCCTAAGCAGGCATGAATATAGACTACAGAAAATCTGAAGCAAGGGTATGAATACAGACCACAGAAAATCTGAAGCAAGGGGCTTGGCGGTGTCAGGTGGTGGGAAGTGCGAGGAAGCCAGACGGTGATTTCGAGGTGGACTTGGAGGGGCGGGCCTGACTTCATCAGCCCCCCTTGTGTCGTGCCCAGCGTATTTTCAGGGTGACAGAAAGTGACCCATCCCCTACTTGTGTCGTGCCCAGCGTATTTTCAGGGTGACAGAAAGTGACCCGTCCCCTACTTGTGTCTTGCCCCCTCACTTGGAGGGGAATGGGTGGCCACTCTTAAGACCAATTCAGTGGTCAAAACTGCAGGGCAGACATGGCCTGAAAGTGGTGCTGGGATGTTCTGACCTGGACCTGAGGGCGAAATCCTCAGGCTTCAACACGAGCCCTTCCATCTCTGCAGAGGTGGCACAGCCCCTCCAGGCACATCCAGGGCTGTGGGAATCCTGGGACCTGGGTCTTCCAGGCACACCTGGGGCTGTGGGAATCCTGGGACCCGGCCCCCCCAAGCATAGCTGGGGCTGTGGGAATCCTGGGACCCAGCTCTTCCGGGAACTCTTGGGGCTGTGGGAATCCTGGGACCCGGGTCTTCCAGGCACACCTGGGGCTGTGGGAATCCTGGGACTCGGCCCCCCCAAGCATAGCTGGGGCTGTGGGAATCCTGGGACCCGGGTCTTCCAGGCACACCTGGGGCTGTGGGAATCCTGGGACCTGGCCCCTTCGGGCACTCCTGGCACTGTGGAATCCTAGGACCTGGCCCTTCCTGGCTGGGTCAGGCCCTGCCAGTTGGGAGCAGCCTGCGTGTGGCGTGATCTGGTGTGGCGTGCCTCCTGCGTGTAGGGTCACCCTTGACTGCCTCGACTACCTTCTCCTTTCACTACCCAGGGCCTGGGACCCTCCTTTCCTTACGTGGGGTCCCCTCTGCAGCCCACATCCCCTCTGACAGATCCCTCCACGGAAAGGCTCCGGCACCTCAACCTCACTCTGGCTGCATTGGAAACTCTTCTGTCGCTATCGGCCTTCTCTGAAGAGCTTTAATCTCTCCTTCCATGGAGTCTCCTGTGGACTTAATACACGAATCCATACACTTGTACTAATGGGTAGCATGGAATTAATGTGTGGCTTTCTCCAGATGTGGATGTTGATATTTCAGTAAAGTCTGAGTTGTTTCTGGAAGGTCAATGCCTGAGACAAAACGAATCCCAACCCCCCAGCTGTGGCTTCATGATGCTGGCCACTGGGTGGCCGAGCGCTTTCCGAGTCCCGTGAATCAGACCCTGCGTCTTCCCTGTGACAGTGAAATCTGCTTACAACACAGGCCCCCTCGCTGCAGAAACAGCGTGATTTGGAGCCCACTGGGACAAAGCATTATATGCTTCTCTAGCCAACATCTCAGATGAAGGTGATTTGAGGCCTGGGTGGGAGACTTCAGCCAGGAGCTGGCCGTGCTCCCACGCATTCAGGGGAGCGCTCACTTCTGACTGCTGCGAATGTCTGAGCCACCCATCACCTCTCGACTCTAAGTTCTCTAAGCTTCATCCTAGTGATGTCAAGTTACCAGAACTTAATAGAAACTGGTCGTTTGAGCTTAGCTTTTGCACTGAATTAAGATTTCATTTATTTTTGTGATTTTTATAAAAGATTAATGTGAGTCCTTTATTTGAAAAAATGTTCTCGTATCTTTTGAAACTTTATCTGGAAGAAGTTGTCTACTCCAGTACCTGTTTTCTTTTCTAAAAGAACTCGAGTGATAAATTTGGCCTGATTTTAAATCCCAGGAAAAGTTTCTTTTTCCATACTAATATCTCTACTTCTTATTATCTTGTAACAAATAGCTACAACTCAGTTTCATTTCTGCCTTCTCATTATGATAACTGTAATTTATAGCACTTGACTATGTACAGCACAATGTTATTCTTGCACTTTCTGGGGTGGTCAGCTGGGATTCTTTCCGGGAAGCCCACACCCCAGAGGTGGACACCACCATGCTTTGCCGTCTGCCATCACTGTCATGAATTTCAGAGATGGATTTTTTAAGTTGGAGAAATGAGAGACTGGCTATCTAGCATGATGAATGTTAGAAATGAGTTCTCGGAGGTGAGATGACAGCAGCTCGAGGTACATGGATTACGTAAAGATACTTGGAAAAGAGCCTGACCCCGTATGAATACAGCGCCTTGGCTCTCAGGGATGATGCTGTGGGCTAAAGCCCCCATGTCCCATCTCCACTGTGAGCTGAAGGTCTCTGGTGTTGGAAGCCTGCTCTGAGGGTCACAGAATCCTGCCTCTTACATTTTTTGACAGCTGAACTTTTTTGGGGTCTTGTCCTGCAAGGTGTTGATTGGAGAATCTGAAAGAATAGAGAGCTGGTAGCCTCTCAAGCTGAAGGTAAAGGTTGTTTTGATTTTATTTTGTGCTTGCTTTCTAATGAAAATTTAGTTAAAAAATCAGAATTTGATCAAAGACTTGGTCTCCTTATTACCTGGTAGGGAGGTTATAGGGTGGTAGCTAACCCTTACACAACCCAGACCTCAGTGGCTCTTAGTATCGGCCACCATAAACCAAACGCCATGACGGACTGAACAGGCATGGGCCAGGTGTTTCCGGGCTCCCCACATCTGCAGCACGCGTGGGCCGGGTGTTTCCAGACTCCCCACATCTGCAGCACGCGTGGGCCGGGTGTTTCCAGGCTCCCCACATCTGCAGCACGCGTGGGCCGGGTGTTTCCAGGCTCCCCACATCTGCAGCACGCGTGGGCCGGGTGTTTCCAGGCTCCCCACGTCACAGGTCTTAACTCTGCCTCGCAGGGGTTTTGGAAACTGTTCCTTCACTTTGTGGGAATGGCTTTCGTTTCTCTGGTTCTATTTTAGGTGTTCGGTAATGTCGTACATCTTAAATCTTTTTTGAAAGGAGGTGGAGTATAAAAACCTAAATGAATAGTGAAAATAATAGAGGATTCTTATTGGTTTCTCTGGGGCTGGGGTGGGCATGGCTTTTCTCTTCATTTGTGGCTTATCTTCATGTGCCCCCTCAAGCTAGTGAGACCCCAGCATCACCAAGAGGCGCACGCAGGGGTGGGGTGCAGGGACGGGGCCTGAGGCTCACTCCTGCCTGGTGTCGTGTCGGTGCCTCCTTCCAAGGCTGCAGCTAAAACCCCTTTGCCTGAATGGAGCCCCTCCCTCAGACTCCACAGGAAGAGTCGGCGCTAACTCAACAGTGCATGTGCCCCTGGGTGTGGGGGACAGGGTTCTGGGGCCAGCGATCTGGAAAGAGGCACGTTCTGAATTTGTGTTGTTGCTCGTCCAAACATTGCACACTCGCGTGTTTCTGGGACACCAAAGTAAAACGAATGCAGGGAACCGGCCGACCCGCCACGTCGCCCCCCAGACACGGTCCCATCCCTCCAGCGTCCCGCTCAGCTCCAGCAGCCAGGAGCCCGCAGCCTAGAGAGTCAGTAGAAACTGCTGCTGCTCCGGTGGTTTCCTCACCCAGGTGCCCAGGCCAGCCTTCTGAAAGGCCTTGAACAGCTGCTGTTTCACAGACTGGTAGGTGTGCGCCCCCAGCTTGGCCTCACAGTACATGGAGGGCGTGTCTCCAGGGCTGGGTGTCCGTGTGCTCAGCTGCGGACAAGAAGGAGAAAGAGCCAATCAGACACCAGCAGAAAAGGAGCTTCTGCTAGGTGAGTTTTACATGCCAGGCATCAGCTCCTGGCCTTGGCCTTCTGCCTTTCTTTCTCCCACTATTACAGAGAGCAACTGTGACCAGGTCCTCTGGCAATTCCACAGGAAACCTAGTCATCAAGGAAACCCGCTTCATCTGAGGTGTGAATGATGAATGAGCGGATAAACTTGACTGCTACTAAAAGTATGAACACTGTGCAGGGGCTCCAGGCAGGGTTGGGGACAGAGGGGGACAGTGGGAGCTAAAACAGCATCACAGTGGGCAGGGAGCAGGCTGGTGAGAGTCATGTTGTCGGCTGAGCAGGAGGATGATGGAGCTGGGGCGTTTCCTCTGTTAGCTTTCTGAGGTCTGCCAGGCAAAGCTTTGCAGCAACACAAGACAGGGATCAAATGCAGCTCTGATACCCCCACCACGGGGCAGGGAGGCCAGGAGGGAAGAGGATGGGGCCATGGGGGAGCTCCAAATCCCACAGCGGGTCTTCCAGGGAGGCACTCACCGGGGGGTCACCTCGAGCATGTGCAAGAGGAGAGGGCCCTTTTGCTCAGCAGGACAGCATCGACGCTTCCCTGACCTTCCAAGTCTCCAGGAGAAGGGAGACCCCGGCAGTGCCCTTGAGCGGACAGGACAGAGGCTGAGAGCTGCAGGATGCTGGGCGTCTCGGCCAAGCTCAGAGCTAATATGTGCAATTCTGAGTGTCCTCTAAGTTGGCTAAAACGTTTATTTTAGGCATTAGTATGCCTGCCCTCCTCTACCAGTTGACAAATCAACACTATTATTCCTGCTTGGATTAAAAAGTGTGGAAAAATGAGAGAGGCATTTTTTATGTGTTGGCTGGTTTTTCTGTTATTTGTTGTTTTTGGTTACAGTCTATGCTTTGGAAATGCATACAGATACAGATTTTGATTTAAAATCCAGAAATATTGCTGTTATCCCTACTTGTGAAGGAGAAATTTGCTCCTAATTGTGGATGTCGTGGAAATGCTTGGGCTTTGGGGTTGGGGAGAAATTCGAATTCTGAAATTCATTACCTGTGAAATTTTGGGGAAATTACACAATTTTTCTGAGTGTCGGTTTCCTGATATCTAAACCGGGAATAGTATCGACTTCAAAAGTCCCCAGGAGCTGCTTCTGGGACACCCCGAACAAAGCAGGTGGTGCCGTGCCGGCTCCGTCAGGGGTTCAGCAATGAGCTCCTTTCCTGCTTCTGCAGCTCCAGCCTGGTCTGGGGGCGGTGCCTGGGGTAGCAGGGTCTCAAGCCTACAGGGGAAACGCTGCTGGCCTGGGCAGCTGGGAAAAGGACATGTGATGGGCGCTGTGTCGTGCATCTCCCTCCCTGCAGACCAAGTGTTGGCCTCTCCCAAGAGCTTGCTCAGGGCTGGAGCCAGGGTCTGGCTGGGTCCAGTTTCCCTGCAAGGATGGGTGCGACCTACCCTGCCATACAGCCGCGCCCACCGTGCAGACAGCACGTGCTTGCAGAGCCGGGATGGGCCCCCACAGCTCCTCCGCCCAGTGGTGGCGTTGATAATCTCCAGGTCCGCGCTGCCCACGACCCAGTTCATGCTGAAGGGGGGCGACTTCCCCGGCTGGCGCGCCTCGGCGTCACTCACGCCTGTCGGGGAGATGGGGAAAGGCGGGCGTTAATATTCCTGGCCTCACACGGGGCTCCCCCAAGGGCAGCTGCGGGGAAATGGAGCCTGTATGTGAGTGGGAATGGTCCTCCCTTTTCATCCTCAGGACTGGCCAGTTCACGTGTCACCCGCAGGGCGGAGGCTGCAAATTGGGCAGGATCGTGGTGGCCGCCTCGGGTCCACGGCGTCGCTGCACCTGCGTCAACCTTCTAATCGAAGATTTTAATAGTCTGGTGATAATATAGCTCCGTCCAGATTCCCCCCCCTTCTGTAAATATTAGTTGAGTGAATGAATGAACAGAGCCACGTGGAAGTGATCTGAGAGTGTGTTTATCAGGCACCTTTGCAGGCCCCGCTCTGCTGGAGGCAAAACACCGGGGCTAGTAAGCAACATGCAGCTCCCTGGCTCCCTCGGGTTTACAGTTTAGCTGATGAGAAAAACAAAACAAAACAAAACAATAAAAACCAGGCAGAAATGAGTGTAGGATCAATTGATCCGCAATGTGATCCTGAAACCGCACTGGCTACAGAGTGTTTGAGACTCAGTGCACAGCGGAAATATGGGGCCTTTTGTTCGAAAGTTACGAAGAATTTCATGATGACAGTGGGGCGTTAAACCAAGCATGGGTTCGTCTAAGCTCAGGTGCCTGTGTGAGCTGCAGGGCTGCATGCCCACGATGCTGGTCCTGTCCAGAGAGAGCCGGCATCTTCAGGGAAGCCCTCGTTTCAAAAGTGTTGCCTCTTGTGTGCTTGGACTTTTAACCCGGACCATACAGTCCTTGCAGCCCAGCTCACAGTGCAGAAGGGTGGATGAGGAGGTCTCCACTCTGGGGTGGCAGCTGCTTTGCAGCTGGGGGTGGTGCACTTTCTGGCTTCTAACTGTGGCCCCAGCCCTGACTCCTTGAGGTGCTCCTGTGCTGATTGGGGCTTCTGGACATGCTGCCACAAGATGTCTGGAAACTCCAGGGGGCACCTGCCGAGACCCTGCCCTGTGACGGCCTGAGGATTCCAAAACATGAGATTCCGGTGCAGCTGAGCCCCGCCAATTCATTGTCTCTTTCAGTCCCTTCTGAAGGCTGCATTTGGCAATGTGACCCTCGGGGTGGGGAAGGCATCAGAGGAATACAGGCTATGGGACGCCAGAGGCAGCGTCCTGGGGACAAAGCCCACTTCTTCCCATGCCCAGGGCTTCCTCATGGACCCAGCATGGTGGACGTGGCCCTCAGACGTCCATGGGTGGTGGGGGAGGCACGTGCTGTTTGGCCCTGTCTCTGCTCAGAGTCTCATAGGAAGATGCATGGTCCACACAACAGTGAGTCGGCAGGGAGTCCAGGCTCCCACTCACAGCAGTGGTGTTGAGACGCTTGGTTTATAACCCAAGATCCCTTGTCCCATTGGTGCCTCCTGAATCTCCCACCTCCCGCGGCACCTGCATGGCCTCTACCTGACGCGTTCCCCAAGCCCAGCTGGCCGGGTGTCTCCCTCTCATTCATGCCTCCTCGCAGATCAGCTCTGCCTCTCCAGCCCTTCCTGCCTTCCTGGCCTGCTGTCCTGTGGTGCTTGGAGGCGAGCGGGGCCCCTGAGTTCTCGGGGGCCCGTCATGCATCACGTGAGATGGCGGTGCCTGCAGAGAAGAACTTGGCGTCTTGGCCAGGGCATTGCATATAGGCCAGCCAAGTGCCTGCTCAGGTCCCTGGGAAGCCACTGGCTATTGGTGGAGAGGCCCAGGTGTCAGCATTGGTCTGAGAGCAAAGACCTGGTGGGCTGAGCTGGTGCGAGTGGGTTCCCGCCATAGCAGACTCCCGGGAGGAAGCTGTCCCCACGTCACGTGGTAGCACAGCTCATAACACCTTCCTGGAAGCAGGCTTCATTTAAATTCGGGGAAGACCCACTGACTACAGAGTTGCACAGCCACAGACCCCAGATCCTCTGCTGCTCCCAGCTTCATCCACGAGCCTGAGCTCTGTGGACAGACTGAGCACATGGCCCATTTGCCAACCACTTCGAAAGTCACCTGGTGAGCTTCTGCTGGCCACAGACAGGTGATGTGGGACACCCAAGCGAATCCCGTTCATGTCAGCTCTTCCTTTTTCCTTCAAGTGATTCACGGTGGCAGCTGCCACCCCGAGAGCCGGGAGGGACAATCTGGCCCGTTGGCCGCTGTGGCTGTCCTACTAGGCAGGGGCCGCCTGGGCAGGAGGAGCCAGCCACCAAGGCCAGGGATGACCGGGCACTGGGAGAGGCAGTCACTACCCTGATCTGCGTGCACTGGGCAGCCTCCCCTCCTCCTCCCACTCCCGTCACCAGGCGGCCTCCCCTCCTCCTCCCGCTCCCATCGCCAGGCGGCCTCCCCTCCTCCTCCTGCTCCCATCCTTCTGGTCTCCATGACCATCAGGGCCAACCACTGAGGTGCCAAGCTGCAAAGTCTGAACTCAGAGGAAAGCCTTGGGAGCCTGAGGTCTACACAGGACCTCCTGGTTCCTTGTCAGGATGCCCTGGCTCCGGCCTGTGCCCCTCTCCTTTCTCTTTGCGGAGGACGTTGTGGGCAAGTTGCTGCTAGCCCTTGGCCAGCTGCCGTCTGACGGGGTTTCCTCCCAACGCTCCTGGCTGCCAGGCATGACGAGGCCCAAACACCACCGGGAAGGCAGCTGTGAGGACGTGGGTGTGAACCCAGCACGTGCACTGCTCCACACTCCGGGGACAGAAGGAAGGAGCTGGTGGGGCAGCGAGGGAGGCGCTGGCGGGTGGGCTGCGGGGTCGTCCAGCCTTGCATGGGGGCTTCTTCTCACCAGGGTGTGGTCCCATGTGTCCATATGTGCACAGGGAGGACAGTGTCTGCTGTAAATAACATCTCAGCTCACCTGTGATGACGTAAATCACACTGTAAATCATTCAGTTCTAACTACAACAGCCCCGCAGGCTACTGTTTAACATAGAAAGTGGTGTAAACCCAGGAGCAATCTTCAATATCCAAGCCTGTCCATGACCCCGGAGGTGGAAAATGCACCCCAGGGGCCTCTCCCACTGACCAGGAACCAGGTGGCTGGAGTTCCAGGCAGTTTGAGTTCTGTGGCCCGAGGTCATCCTCCACTTACCGCTCTGTGACAGGTGACTTCTCTACTTCACGAGGTGATGTGAAGATCAAACCAGGCAAATAAGAGCACTTTTGGAGCACCCAGGCTATGAATGCTGCTGTTTTCATCTGAAGGAGGATTTGAAGGCCAACTGCAGTTTGTTTCGTGTTCTCCAAGTCACACAGATCAAAAATGTTTCTAGTTAGATCACAGGGAACATTTCCAACTTAGTTACAATCACCTAATTGTGTCCAGGGAACGGAGGAACCGACCAACAAGCAAAGGTCAGTTCCTTGTTCCTTTCACGGAAAACACATTCTGTTCCCTTTATTTGTCCTCTGCAGGGGACAGGACCATGTGCTTACGCTTTGAGCTTCTAGGGAAGGGTCTGCTCCCCTCTGTGTTCTGCTGGCAAAAGAAAAACTTCCCAAGGCAGCCTGGAAGAATAGCAGTCCTTTTTTTTTTTTTCTTCTACCTTCTTGTCTTTTTTTTTTTTAATAAACCTTCCATAGAGAGATAGTGTTGGGATGTTTCCTGAATACTCACACAGGCAGTAGTTTCTGACATCGCTGTGACTAATATCTGCAGCTGATCATGCCCGTGGAGCGGGAACCACGGCCCAGATCCCTGGAGTCTAATGTGCAGAGAAACGGATGCTCATGGATGCTCATGTCAGTCTCACTATTAGGTTTGCCGTTAATGACTCTTTCCATGGAACAGATCCCTTATGGTGAGAGGAAGTGCAGTCAGGAGCGGGCTGCTTGCTCTGAGGAACCAGAAGTTTCCTTCTCCAGTGCGGCCAGCAGCCAGGCCCTCTTCCCACGCTGGGGCCCAGCCCTCCCGCACCAGGTGCCCAGGCTCCAGGAGGGCCATCTCTTCCTCACCGACATGGAAGGGCCATGGCCTCGTGCGCTTTCACTCTCTTTCCATTTCCCCGCAGCCTGAGTCACCCTCAAGGAGGTAACTCCCTGTCCTGGGATGTCTCCTGAGGACACTCCAGCATTGGGACATCAGGTCACTCCAGGCTCTTCCTTTCTTTGTTTTATTTATTTTGGCCTGGGGGAGCCACTTGGTTTCTCAGGAGCCTTCTGCTCATGTGTGAATGATCTCTCATGGTGCACTGATTTTATAATTTTCCACCAGTTTCCCAGGTGCCGTACAAAGACATGCAGAGCCTTCTGGGAGCTGGTCCAGTTGCTTGCTCATGGTGTTCCTGTCGAGCACCTTCCTGGCCGTGGAGAAGTGGGTTTCGAAAGGGTTGAAGGTGTTAGGGCTAAACTTTAACTCAGCTGGATTGCATTGCTAGCGGTAGTTGTGGATAGAGCCAGACAAGGTGAAGACACATGTGCTCAGGCCTAGAAATGAAAGCCTGGCTTGTGTTTAATTTTAACTCCTGTGGCTGGAAATGTGAAAATGCATTAACTCCTGGCTCATTCCTCCTGAAGTGGGCATCGGCTGATTGAAGACGGAACTCGAGTCCCAAGGACAGAGGGTGTCTGCAGCTGCAGGGGCACCTACTCAGGCCTGTCCCACCCTGTTCCTCAAGATAACACAGCAGCACATACCTGGTGACCCAGTCCACCCAGAACACATGGCCCTACCTCCTTCCCCAGAACACGTGGCGCTACCTCCTTCCCCAGAACACGTGGCGCTACCTCCTTCCCCAGAACACGTGGCGCTACCTCCTTCCCCAGAACACGTGGCGCTACCTCCTTCCCCAGAACACGTGGCGCTACCTCCTTCCCCAGAACACGTGGCGCTACCTCCTTCCCCAGAACACGTGGCGCTACCTCCTTCCCCCGAACACGTGGCGCTACCTCCTTCCCCAGTTCACAGCACAAAATGTCTCCTGGAGGGGATTCAGGGAATCTCCAGCAGTGAAAGGTGCCAACAGACCTGTGGCGATTGAGGGACAGAGCCTGTGTCGTCTGAACTCAGAAAACGTGAGCATCAGGCCAGCTGAGCTCCAAGGAGAAATGCGTCCTCCTGAGAAATTGCACGCAGGAGTCTGAACTCAGAAAACATGAGCATCAGCAGCTGAGCTCCGAGGAGAAACGCGTCCTCCCAAGAAATTGCACACAGATACCCCAGTGCTGTGGACAAACACGTACACGTGCTTGCACAGGGGTCCCACGCTTCTCACTCTGCAGGCCGCCCTGTGAGGCCAAAATTCCTGTGAACCTCTGGCATCCAGAAGCTACAACAAATCCAAATTAACCCTGTGGAACACTTCTGTGATGCACCTCCTGCCTTCGGTGTATGGCAACACAGGAACGATACTGTGTATTCTAATGTGGTTTCCACATGCACAGAAAATTGTACTTTTGTAGGCTGTATTTGTTTTAGGTGATTGCTGTAACACATTGCTACATGTGTTGGCTTAAAAGAGCAGAAATCTGTCCTGTCGTAGCTCTGGAGGCTGGAAGTCTGAAGGTGTGGGCAGGGCTGTACCTCCTTCAGAGGCTCTGGAGAGACCCCTTCTTGACTCTCCCAGCCTCTGCTCAATCCCAGGCTTCCTGGCTTGTAGCGGCTTCACTCCCATCTCTGCCTGCATCCTCACCGGCTTCTCTGCATGTGCCATATCTCCCCCGCCTCCCTCTTCTAAGGACAGAGGTGGCTGCAGGCAGGACCCACTGAGATAATTCAGATCATCTTCCATCTCACGATCCTTAGTTTACTCACATCTGCAAAGACCCCTTTTTTCAGACAAGGTAATTTACAGGTCAGGGATTAGGACTTGGCATCGGTGGGGGCCATTATCCAGCCCACTGGGAGTGAACTTCGGGACTGGTCTAAGGACGGAGTGAGCAGCGCTCTTCCGGAGGAGGGGCAGCCCCACGCTCTGGGCCCCACACTTCGCAGAACAGGGGTTTGCACGCTCTGGGCCCCACACTCTGCAGAATGGGGGTTTGCACACTCTGGGCCCCACACTGAGTAGAATGGGGGTTTGCACGCTCTGGGCCCCACACTCCGCAGAATGGGGGTTTGCACACTCTGGGCCCCACACGGCGTAGAACAGGGGTTTGCAGGTGGCAGCTCATGGGCTACTTCTCCCCGCATCTGTTTCTTTCCCTCTGGACCTTCTGTGTGTGATGAGGACCAGCGGGGCTCACGGTCCAGGAGGGTGGGGGGCCAGGGCTGCCCAGAGAGCAGTTCTGTGCCACTGGCTGGATGTGCAGAGCAACCTGGGGATGCACGGGGCACCCGGCACGTGCACCTGCTGAGTGAGGGTGGCCTCCGTTGGGTAGGACCTTGGATTTGAAAATCTGTGTAGGAAGCCCAAGGAAGGGTGAGGAAAAAAGGTGTCCCTGAAACACTGTGTAGCCTGGTGGTGAGCAGGGTCGGGCCCCACGTTTTTTTAGTAATTGCTCCCAAGCGGCCTTGGGAATAACGCCCTCGCTACCTGAGCAGCTTCTCCCTGAGCCGTCTGTAATGGAACCACGCTCACAGACGCTTGTTAAACCTGGTACGTAACTCAGGGATGTGTTGCATTTATTAATTTGTAAATATACCATGCAGCATATGGGCCATTCATCTCTGAGAACATTTTTTAGGGAGCTGTCTTATTTCAGAGTAGATCTGTATAGGAATAAGCTGGTCTCCCGGAGCCTTTGACATGAATATTCTGCCAGGTTGTCTGGTGTACAGAGATCAGCCTGATGAGATTGTGTGACCTTTTTGCTAAACACACACAATCGTGTTAACAGTGGGCTCTGGCAGCAGAGCAAAGCTGGACTCACTTCTGTGACATACTGGCAGTGTGGCTTCCGACAAGTGAATTAACCACTCCTACCAGCACTGCTTCAACTACCACCGTGATCAGCACAACCACTGCTGTTACATCACCATTACTAGGACCGGTGGGGGTGAATCCACAACTCATCTATGAAAGTGAGTTTTACTGTGGCTCGCGGAGCTATAAAAAGATGCCTGACTTGAAGAAAATCCTTATTTACCTTTTTAAAAAGGCATTATGTAAGTGAGACGTTACAGCATTTCTTCAAAGTGAGCCTACTATATTTACAAGGTAACTTACTTTCCCAAAATTAAATTTACACAAGACATCTCAGGAGTATAATTTTTACATGCAGTGAGGCAAGTCTGTGTCACTGGGTAGCACTGCATTTAATTTTGCAGAGTGAATGAAATAGCATGGCATCTGGGCCTGCACAGATTCATAAAGCTAAAGGAATCAGAGAGATCTCCTGAGTTTTCTATATGGCCAGACACGCTGCGGGGTCTTTCTCTCTCTCACGCACACCCACACACCCTTAATGGAAGAGCTGGTAAATTTAATGTGGACTTATGGATTTGGGGTAACTAACTTCTAAGGCTGTATTAATGCCGTTTTATTCATTATCATTGATATGAATGTCTTTATAATTGCCAGTAATTTTATAGCTGCTGTCTTGCTTTGATACAGCACATTTATAAGAAACATAAAAAGTACTATGGAGGCTGGAGATGGTAGGGTTAACTGAGGATGGACAGCTGGTTCTTTCTGCTGTGAGATAGTCCTAAAAACTTCTGTGGGTTCGGCCTGGCACGGTGGCTTACGCCTGTAATCCAGCACTTTGGGAGGCCAAGGCAGGTGGATCATGAGCCATGACCACCCTGGCTAACACGGTGAAATCCTGTCTCTATTAAAAATACAAAAAAAAATTAGCCAGCCTGGTGGCGGGTGCCTGTAGTCCCAGCTACTTGGGAGTCTGAGGCAGGAGAATGGCGTGAACCCGGGAGGCAGAGGTTGCAGTGAGCCGAGATCGCGCCACTGCATTCCCGCCTGGGTGACAGAGCGAGACTCCGTCTCAAAAGAAAGAAAATTCTGTGGATTCCTGCAAGCCAGAAGGGAATATGAATGTTGAAAACACAGAGGCCATGGTGGCTTTTCCTCGCCTTCCCTCATGTGACTGGTTTGAGGTGGAGGTGTTGAGGGTGGAAGGCAGGCATCTGCAGGGTGTGGAACGGGCCACGCTGGCTGCACCGTCTGTGAATGTCCCGGGTGCAAGTTCTGCTGGGACAGCAGTGATGTCCGGGGATGCCAAGGCCTGGGCGGTGTCCTCTCAGGAGGGTTTGTGCCTCCACTGATCTCCAGGAACTTTATTCCTAAGAGACCACCGAGGAGTCGGGAGGATGGACGACCGCTCAGGTTCCCCCGAGGTTAAAGTGCAGAGGCTCACAGGAGGCTTCAGAAGATGTGAAATTTCCATGGCAGAGGAAAGAATCTGCATTTTTCATTTTTCAGCCTGATAATGACATGACTTTTGGCTTCTGTAAGGATTGTCATTATTTCAAAAGATATGGGACAAAGGGACTTTGGGGGAATGGGGTCTTTTGCTGTTCCAAATTATGTATTTTTGTGCCCTAGTACTCAAAATGTAGTAATATGCCAGGTTTCAAACTGGATAAAAGTGTGGCTGGTTTTCATTGCTCTTCAGTCGGCATTACTCATTTGAGATTGTTTTTCTTAAGCCCAGATAACACATGGAGTGTTTTCTGGAGAGTGAGTCCACCATAGTTAGACTCTGTCAGTGTTTGTCTGCAAACGCTGTCTCACCTTCGTTTTTGAAGGATGCTTTTTCTTGATATCAGATCGTAAGTTGAGATTGTTTTTCTATCAGCATTTTAAAGATGCCATTTCATTGTTTTTTTGTCTTCTGAGAATCAGTTACCAGTCTGATTTAGCTCCTTTGAAGTGAGTTTGTCTTTCATTTCCTGACTGCTTTTAAGATTTTTTTGGTCTCTGTTTTTCAGCAATTTAACCACTGAGATGAGAATTAAAAAAAGTTATTCTTGGGGTACAATGTGCTTTTCAAATCTGCATTTGGATGCTTTTTGTTTGTCTTGGAAATTCTTAGTTGTGATCTCTTTAAATATCTCTCCTGTTCCATTACTTTTTCTGGAACTCTTATTACATGCATTCAGACTTTCCTGCTCTCTTCACTCTCTTTTGTACTTTCTGTGTGTGATGGTTCATTTTATGTGTCCCCTTGGCTAGGCTGTAGCACCCAACTAGATTAACTGCGAGATTAACCAGCAGTCCCAGGTATTGCTGGGAAGGCACATTCAACGCGATTAACATTTAACTCATTCGACTTTGAATAGAGCAGGTTATGCTCTGCAACATGGCTGGGCTTCGTCCAATCTGCTGAAGGCCTGAAGAGCAAAGACTCAGGTTCTGTGAAGAGAAATAAATTGTGCCTCCACATGGCTTGTGGACTCTAGACGTGCCACTGCCACTCCTGCTGAAACTTCCAGCTTGCCGGCCTGCCCTGTGCATTTTAGACTTGCCAGCCTACACGATTGCATGAGCTGATTTCTTAAAATAAATATCTATCAATCTCTATCTGTCATCTATCTATCATCTATCATCTATCTATTATCTATCTATCTAATCTATCTATCTGTCTGTCTGTCAGTCTATCATCTATCTATTCATCCATCCTCCATATATCATTTCTGCCTTCTGTGCTGCATTCTGGATGTTTTCTTCAGAACTGTGCTCCCATTTATTAATTCTCTCATGTGCTGTGTTTATTTGGTATTGAACCATCCTCTGTTAAACAAATTATTTTATTTTCTGTATTTCTGAAATTCCTATTTGGTTCTGTTTTTTTCTGAGCTTTCATCTCTCCCCCTAAGTGTTCCATCTTGCTTTAGAAAATGTCCTTTCTCCTATTGAGCGTGGTCATATTAGGGTCTGTGTCTGAAACTCCAACTGGAGTGTCTGTCCTGCTGCCTGTTGTTTCTTCTGCATTTGGGTTTTATCTCCTGTGTCTGCTTGTTTTTTGTGTGTGGCAATATTCTATTTATAATTTTTTGTAGAGTTATTTTGATCTAATGAGTAAGAGGACCATCTTAATTTAAGTCAGGAGTGGAGACCATTTCAAGCTATAAACACTGTAAGGGGCTGTTTGCCTTGAGCCCACCTTGGCCCTGGGAGGCAGGCCGACCCGCCCCCTTAGCCTCCCGTGGGTGCTGAAGCACCTCTCAGCCCTTCAGCTTCTCAGGGACTCTTACAGGAAAATCTCCCCTCCCATCCCTGTCCTTCCCCAGGTCCTGGCTTGGCAACTCTTCCCTCTCCTGTTCACTCTTGTGGCACTCTCCTTGGTGCCACCAAGGAGA
This sequence comes from Homo sapiens, assembly GCF_000001405.40. Taxonomy (NCBI): domain Eukaryota; kingdom Metazoa; phylum Chordata; class Mammalia; order Primates; family Hominidae; genus Homo; species Homo sapiens. The sequence goes on from NC_000010.11 coordinate 1,195,258, forward strand.
ATTGCAGGTGCCCCTGCCAACATCTCCCACCATCCTCAGGGTTTGTGGTGCAGTCCCATGGGGAGTGGGATTCTCCAGCTTTACAGAACCTTCAGGGAACCATCATTCAGTATCTGTCAATGCTGTACACAGTTTTTTTTTTGTTTTTTTTTTTTTTAAGATAAGGGTCTTTAGTCCCTTGTTAAGTTTTATGACTGGCAAACATTTCTCTCTCAGAATGGCAGAGTTTTGCAGGCCTGGGTGGGAGAGCACATCTAGGCAGAGACGACGTTGAAAGGTTTTCATGCCAGAGAAAGCTCAGAGTTTTGACTCCAGGGGTGTGGCTGTGAGCAATGAGGGATGTCCATGGAGAGGCTGATCCTGGTTCAGAAGAATTGGGATGGTGCTATCAGCCTGAGGCTTCTGAATCCATGGAGAGGCTGATCCTGGTTCAGAAGAAGAGGGATGGTGCTCTTAGCCCGAGGCTTCTGAAGGGAGGTATGGCTCACTGCAGCAGGGTGAGGCTTTCTAGCCCCCGAGCCAGCAAAGCACAGTGGGGAGAGTCTGGCATCCTAAGATGATGGTGGGGGCCAGTTGGCTTTTATGGCACCGTCCTAGTCTGTGCTTTTCCCGTTAGCCCTGTGACCACCTTCGTAACCCCACTGAATCGAGGCCCATGTGATTGTTTCAGGTCTGGGGAACCAAACAGCAGCCTGAAACCAGCTGGAATCTTCCCTTGGTGAGAAGGGAGAGGAAGCCCGCTGCAGCCTTTCCAGAGTGCCTCTCTCTCCCGTCCGCTTACCTCACACTCTCAGCCCAACCCTGCCTGTTTCCCAAAACCCTGTGGGAGCCCTTCTCCCAGCTCCATTCCCTCATTCCTCTAGGACTCTGCGCAGTGTCACCGCCACACTGAGAGTGCTCCTGATCCTTTTATTAGGGCTGAGGGTCACTTTTTAATCCTTCTTTTGCCTTTTTTTTTTTTTTTTTTTGACAAAGCACTCATATTTTGTTTGTCCGTCTCCCCTACTGGAATGCAATCACCCTGAGGTATGGATTTTTGACTATTTTGTTCACTGCTCTATTCTCAATGTAGGATTGTGCCCGGCACTTTGTAAATCATCAATACACATTTGCTGAATGATTAAGCAAATGCCTGGATTATGCTGATCAATTTCTCGATGTTGGATACATTTAATGTATTGACAATGGAAGTATTTTCCTGGAGTTAATGATACAATTCTCAGGAGCAATGTAATTAAGTTCGTTGCTTAAATTCTACTGGGAAACAATTCCTTAAGATCATGGTGGAAATTAAATGAAAATTAATTATTATACAAAATATTTTTAAAAGGATTCTCCAGAAAATGAAAACAAAGTTTTTCAATAATTTTATATTTATCATAAGCTATGTGCCATCTAATTTGCCTAGAAAGTTCTGTGCTAATCTATAAAAATGTCTTATTAAGTAGTTCTTTGTTGAATTTAACTTTTTTAGTTTTCATGAAAAGATATTAGGATTTCTTTTCTTTCTTTCTTTTTTCTTTCTGTAGACATGGGGTCTGGCTATGTTGGCCAGGCTGGTCTCAAACTCCTGGCCTCAAGTGATCCTCCCACCTCAGCCTTCCAAAGTGCTCGGATTACAGGCATGAGCCACCACGCTTAGCTAAGACTGCCTTTTAGATTGTTCTAGCAAGATTTATAATTTTTTCCACCAAAAATTCCTGCAAGGGCATGGGAAGATAAATTTCTAGCTCTAGTGACTGTAAGAAACAGCAGGCTGCTAAAATATTTCTGTAATGCTTATGTGTTTATTACTAAACATTTGTAAAAATTTTGTAGGTTACTCCAAAATAGACCTCTGTTTAATGTAAAAATAATATTGCAAATCACTTACCATCTGGATAAAATATTTGCTACTGCTTCACTATGTTATTTTGCAAAATACTCTTAATTATCATTAATTTCAGAAATTTCTCCTGAATTAAAGAGGTCTGATACTCCATAGAATTTTCCTCAACTTAGTGTGACAACATTTTGAAAATCTGGACTCATAAAAAAAATGGACATAAATGGCAACAGAGAGAGACTTTGAATGCCAAAAATAGGTGGCATTGGGAAATTTCAGAAGCTATTAGTATTGGTACACATTTCAGTACATATGTGACTTCACATTTCAGTACGTATCTAACTTCTTTTCTGACAAATGGTTTTGCTGTGAAACATGGATGCCTGAAAGGGCTTCAGACGCCCCAGCTGGCCCTTTTCACACTCCAGGAAATTGTGTGCTGTGGAGGAAGACAGCCCGTGCTCTCCTCTATTTTATCACCAGCACTGCAATGTTCATCACGTGAACATAAACCAAGAGTCTTAAACAAGTCATGGTTCTAACAATCAATTCTCTGGGTCCATCTCTCAGATTTCATGTTCGTTGCCAAGACCTTGAGGTGGGCTGTAAAAATAATCACAGTTTTATCTTCAGTGTGGACTAAGAAATTAATCATTGACAACATATCTGTTTAACATGCTGTTAACACAAACAGCGAATTTATCCTACCCAGATTTCTTTTTTTCTTGATGAAGAGAAATAAAAATTTAGCCTTGATGTTGAAAGCTCAGAGAAGCATATATCCTCAGCTTGGTGGAACAGCCTGTCAAAGTGGCTATTTCATCTCACTTTTTCCTAAAAGGATGATTATTCAAAGCATAGAGTTTTATTAATTACTATCCCCATCATTTTGTTCATCTTACTGAATTCACTGAGAAGGACCAAGGGCAAACTCCTTTAGGCTATCTGTACTCAGGAAATAATGCAACTTTTGCTGAAGGATTCAGCGTTTGAGACATCCTCGAAATGGGCTTCTGGTCCTGAAGTTTTGCCATAGATTTAGACTGGAAAGTGCAGAATTTTTCAAGTATATCCTTCAAGAACATTACTATGCATCCCGTGACTGTGTGAGTAAGGGTATCTTTTTCAGCTTGGTTGCTTCTTTTTAACTCAGAGCTGATTTAGCCATATCTAAATTGCTGGGCCTCATTCTGCTAATACATAATCTTCATCTTCTAAGGCAGTTCTGCAAACTGACCTTGAGGGAAGCTTCAAGCAAACTTCATTTGCTTATTTGAGGGTGCTTTTTATTATTATCCCTGTGCAAGATCTCTCTCTCTCTTTCTTTTGGTGCAAGAAATTCTGATGATTTCTTTTCAAAATTTGCATGATTGGTTTTTAAATGTCCATCAGGAACAATGCAGGGACAGCTTAGGGGTTGCATGCAGGCAAGGTACCAAGATTTAGGCTCATTTGCATCTGCAAAATAATGAAAACCAGATTCCCAATAAGCATGTAAATGGAGGCTGAAATATTTAGTCAGGCTGCACCGGCCGTGGTGTGGCAGGTGCCACCTGGGATCGGAAGCAGACAGGTGTCTCTCGGGCTTGGCTATTATCTGTGCCACTCAATGATGTCAGGTGGATCTGAATTTCTCTAATTGCGTTTTCTAAAATTCACTGTGTTCACACTTAGGATTGGACATTCCTGTTTTTATTTATGTTGACATGTTCCCAGATGGACACATGATTGAAAATCAGCACTGGGAGACTGGCTGCTGAGGGTGACATGCCAGTGCCCAGGGAGGGCAAAACCTGCTCCGTTGACGGTGGCTTGGGGAGGGCGTGGTTGCATTTGTACTCCATATTTCCTTGTGCTGCGCAAGCTTAAATAAGCCCTTCAGTAGGTGCTGGACAAAGAGCGGGGATGGCCTAAGGAAAACGCGCAGAAAAAGAGTGCAGGAGCCACTTGGCAAACAGGTGAAAATCCTCTCCTTTCTGGGGCAGAGGTTTTCTCCGTTTCCCCCACATATCTGCCTGATTCTGCCACAGGCAGGCCCTTCAGAGAGCTCTCCCACTCCAGCAAGGGAGGCTGACTCAAAGACCTGGTGTTCTGCAGGCCCAGCATGAGGCTGGCGGTGATTCGGAAACCCACCCCCCCGCTTCCCGCTGTTCCTGTGAAAGGCCAGGAGTCGCCTCCTGTCAGTGTGTCCTTCACAAAACCCTCCCAAGACCACTCCCGGGGCTTTCTAGGGCACCTCGCAGCTGCCAAGGGACTCTTCATCCTTGCAGCTGGCTGTGTGCCAGGCAGCCCGGGCAGGCCCCAGGTAACGTGGGGAAGTAGAGGCTTGGGGAGGCTCGGGTCTCTGAGGACATCTGGGCTGTGGGGAATCCTGGTGCGAAGCCGGCCCAGTACTCGCGGAGTAACCTGGCAGCCTCTGGAGGGTGTGGAGGGCCCGGGGCCCTGGGTTCCGAAGACCCGCTCTGGCCACGTGACCTTGGCGCCCCCCGCCCCTCCTCGCCCACCTGGCTCTTCCTCAGCATCGCCTCCTGTGGGCGGCCAGGTGGGCAGGTGGGCAGGTGGGCGGCCAGGTGGGCAGGTGGGGCCTCTTGGGTGAGCCCAACACTAGTGATTCTGTTTTCAGAACTCCTTCAGACACCGCTGTGAAAACAGCACCATCACACAATCACGAATTCACATCAGGACCTGGCCTATTGCTATATGCAGAGAGATGCTGAAACCTTTCATTTTTTCTTTTTAAAATCGTAGGACTTTGCCCATTAAATCCTAAATTGCCACTAGCCAACATGGATGAAGTCTGCGAGGGATGGCACCGCCGGGCACACCTGTGTCTGGCCTGGTGGTGGGAAGGAGGTGGAGGGCCCCCGGGAAGGGGGTTCTTACCGCTGAGGAGAGGCCGGTTGTGCCGGTAGGAGGCGGGCAGCTGGCCGACACCCTCCATGCGGTGGCTCATGACGCGTGCGAGGTGGCCCGTGTGGTGCAGGCTGCCCACCACGATGCTCTGCAGGTACACGGGCTCCACGAAGTGGGACAGGAGCGCGCCCTGCAGCCCCAGGACGTTCCACCTGTGGGGAGAGCCAGCAGTCAGCGGAGCCCCACCCAGGAGCCCAGGGAGCCTGGTCCTCTCTGTCCGTCTGCGGCCTGGTCCTGAGGACCTGTCAGTCTTCCCATCGTGCGGACCTTGGGGAGCTCCCTGGGAGTGCCCCAGACCCAACCCAGCCATCACTGGGGCTCTGGGGACACTGTTGCCTGGGACTGGGCTCCACAGGCCCATGTGTGCTAACAAATGCTGCTCTCTTTTCTGAAAATGAGTCGTTAGAGTGGAAACTGTTATGTTCTCTGTGGGACTTAGAATTAGATTTTTTTAAAAAGATACTCTGTCCCAAAAGTGAATCTGAATTTTTCTTTATATTAGCTGGGAAATACTATAAATGGAATTTGTTTATTTTAGTTTAGGGAAAAATACTTAGTACTCCCTTTGTCCTTAGCAGTCAAAATGACCTATTGTGTTGAAATTACATTAACAAATGACCTTGTTTTGGTCTGGGCATGATTTTGGTTTCAGAAGCCCAGATTGGAGATGAACAACAAGGCCATTTTGTTTGAAATAAATATAGCTCTGGGTGAATGTTTTTGCTTCCTCAAGCAAAAATGCCAAGAGCACTGACATTTTTTCCCCTTAAATTTGGGTGGCAAGAGGTTCCATGTGTGTGTTTTTTGAAGCAACATTCTATGGTTTCCACTCTAAATAATGTGCTTAAAATCCTACCTCCTTCAGCAGCAAGCGTTACGTAGCTAATTTCTTACATCATTGTTCTTTTCATTAATTAACATTTCTCCACTGTTAGAGCAATTACTGCCATCCCCGCATGCAGCGTCTCTTTTCATGATTAATAAGGAGTCATTACATTTCCCTTCCCGAAGCAGTCAATTAACACAGGATTCTTTCCATTAATTACCGAATCTACCTGGAGAGTAATCTTCTCCGAGAACCCGTGATACCAATTGCTTTAAAAAGTTCTCTTTAAATTTTATTCCAAAAACACAAGCAATTTAGCCAGCGATATTAATTTGCCTCAGAAGCATCTCCATGAATGAGAAACATCTTTTAATCTCATGCAAGAAAAGGCAGCCATCTGGCTGGTGGGGGTTTCGGGGAGCCGCTCTCCCTCTCTCCCTCTGCAAATGCAGGTCATTAAAGTAATGTGCTCATCTACATAAAACTCAAATGGAATATAAAAGGTAATATTTATATACAAACAATTTAGTCCTACAATTTAAACAGTCATTGATTTTATGAAACATTTACTTCAGTCTATCAGATTTGCATAACTTCATTTAAAAAAATATTGTGGTCATTTCTACAAGTCACGGTGCTTCTCCCAGAAAGCAAGGGAAGGGCTGGCCACTGGATGTGCGAGCTTCTACCAGAGGGGTGAGGTCGGGCGCTCTGAAGGGTAGGATGAGATGGAGGCCACAGAGCGCCTGTCACCGAGGACCTTCATTCCACAGAGTGTCTGCCTGGATCTCGGATGGTCGTAAGCCACAGAGCACCTGTCACTGAGGACCTTCATTCCACAGCATGTCTGCCTGGATGTCGGATGGTCGGAGGACACACAGCGCCTGTCACCGAGGACCTTCATTCCACAGCGTGTCTGCCTGGATCTCGGATGGTGGGAGGACACACAGCGCCTGTCACTGAGGACCTTCATTCCACAGCGTGTCTGCCTGGATCTCGGATGGTGGGAGGACACACAGCGCCTGTCACTGAGGACCCTTCATTCCACAGCGTGTCTGCCTGGATCTCGGATGGTGGGAGGACACACAGCGCCTGTCACCGAGGACCTTCATTCCACAGATTCCACAGTGTGTCTCCCTGGATCTTGGATGGTGGCTCTTCAGAGTCAATCTTTTCCTTGATGTTCACCGATAAGTCAGAGAATGGCAACAAATCCTGGGAAAGGAGATTTTTTGTAACTGAGCTTTTCCTTCAGGGAACAATGGGAAGTGTTTTCTGTTTGTTTGTTTTGTTTTTTTTTCAATAGAGACATGGTTTTGCCATATTGCCCAGGTTGGTCTTGAACTCCTGGGCTCAAGCGATCCTCCCACCTCAGCCTCCTTAAGTGCTGGGATTACAAGTGTGAGCCACTGCACCTGGTCTTTGTGTGTGTGTGTGTTTTTTTTAGACAGGGTCTCACTCTGTCACCCAGGCTGGAGTATGGTGGTGCAAGTGGTGCAGCCATAGCTCACCGCAGCCTAATTATTTTGTATTTTTTCATAGAGGCAGAGTCTTCCTATGTTGCCCAGGCTGGTCTCGAACTCCTGGGCTCAAGCCATCCACTGAACTTGGCCTCCCACCGTGCTGGAACCACAGGTGTGAGTCACCGTGTCCGGCCAAGGCTGACATTTTTGAGGAGCGGTTGAGGGATTTGGCTTCTTCCCTTGACTCTGAGACCAGAGGACAGACCAAAGGCTGGGAGGAAATTCAGCAGTGTGGCCCTCCTCGGGACGTAAGATGCCCGTTCTCAGATTTGGAGATGCCAGAAAACAAGGCCCAGGAAAGGACCCCGTGCAGGGCCCAGGGCTCCGGGTACTGTGGTCCCAGTGGGCCTGTTAATTCTCAGACTGTTAGTGCGTCTTAAAATGTCTTATAAAGCAGGGAAAGGTACATTTCCGCCATCTGTAACAAAGCACCTTCGTGAAATAAGCCACGAGTTAAAAAGTAAAATTGGGATTCCTGGAAGAGACGCCTCCGTGTTAGAGGCCGTCAGAGCACGGGCTTTGAACAAAACTTCCGGAACGTATGTGAGTGGCTGTGATGCTGCAGGACCGTCGGAAGACAAATAACTTCTCTATCTGGTTCCTACCTAATAACCTTTACAATAAAGAGGAAATCAACCTTCTCTTTGCCTGGCTACCAGAGATTAAACTTACTCTGCTAAGATGATCAATAAAACCAAATGTCTTTCTGAATATGAGCTGGAGAATTTTCAGCATTCAGGATTGAATGGAAAAATGCCTCTCCTTTTGTTCAAACAGCTGATATTACTGCAATGTTGACAGAAAAAAAACCCATGTCTAGTTTTCAATATAGATAATCCCTAAATAAATATATTTTTGTCTCTTTGTCAGTCATTGAAATACCACAGATAAGTGGGGAAGGTCTTGGAAAAAGGCTGCCATTCTTTAGCCAGGAGATGCAACCTGCTCACTGAGTCCAGGCTGCAGCCTCCAGGCCACAATGGAAGGAAAGACAGGTCTCCGGTGGGTTGACGACACCTCAGGCTGTCCCTGCAGGTGCGCCGGCATCAGGCAGGGAACAGGACCGCCCTTGCCTGTTTTGGACGCTTTGGTTTTCCGCCGTGACGCGGCCCTGTGAGGAGAAGTAACTCTCTAAAGTTACATGAAGCCTGCAGCAAAGTCCTCAGCTGCCACCCGTCCCGGCGTCTGCAGCTCTGCAGGGCTGGCTGTCAGGCCTGCTGCTGGGATCATCTGGGAGCTTTGAGGATCTCCAGAGGTCTGGCTCCCCCAAGGATTTTGGTGTGACTGGGGAGTCAGTGCGGCCATCAGCTTTCTCGGTGCCGCCCACGTGATTCTCCTGTGAGCCAGGGTTGAAGACTTCTGCAGCAAAGCGGCACATTTGGAGCCAACACAGTCAGGTACCAGTTAGGTCGTGATGCTGGTCAGTGGGGCCTCCCTTGACCGTTCTCTTGCTGCTCTGAGCGACTGTCTTCTCAGTGGACCTCAAAGTGGGATGTCTGGGCCAGCCATGGAGCATCACCTGAGAAGTTGATAGAAATGCAGATTCCTGGCTGCACCCCGGAGCTGCTGGCTCTTGAACTCTGGGGTGAGGCCCGGCAGTGCAAGTTCTAAGGAGGCTCCAGGTGGCTCTGAGGCTGCTCAGTTCGAGAACCACCGTCTCCGTGTTGGTTCTGGGGTCACAGTAACTGTATCTACCTTTCACGGCATTGGAAGAGCACAGGGGACAGTTGAATCTCTGGCCAGTCTGGGGGTGACATTTCCCTTCCTCCACACCCTACCTCCAAACCCTGTCTCACACCTTCTTCCTCCCACCTTTTGACAAGACAGGTAATAAGTCTGAGACGTCTCTGCATACAGGCCCCACCCCATTTCCAGGCCACTCAGACCTATTCTGGGGGCCTTTCAAGGTGAAATAGAAGCCAACAGCCTTTTGACTCAATAACACACCTGCTAGGAATTCACCCAGCATCTGCATTCTCAATGGAACGCCTGATATATGGATGGGGCCAGTCTTGAAGGGGCTGTTTGTAATTGCAAAGCAGACAAAGCACGGCAAAGCAGAAATGGGAAATCACCTGAGTGCGTCTTAACAGGGAACTGGTTACATAAATGATGGTGCATTATTGACACCCTGGCCTGCCTGACCATGGGTCCCACAGCTCTCGTGCCTCTGAAGCGGGCCTGGCTTGCTGGGACACCCTCAGGGCCAGGAGGCCACAGCTGCCCCACCTGCACCTTCTGTCGCGTGGACGCTCCGCCCCTCACTGGCTCCTGCCGGCCTCACCCGTCACATTGTGTAGGACGCTTGTGACTGCTCTAAAACCACAGGGCTTTCAAGCTGTCCCCTCCAAGGTCCCCTCCTGTGTCCAGCACCATCGTGACTGCCTCCTGCCGGGCTGCCCCTGCCTGGCCCTCAGGTGCCTGTGGTTTAAATCTCCTGGCATTGCTGAGCACGGGTCTGGTGTGCAGATGGAGGTGACTGATGCGTAGGAGGAAGCTGATGGACAGTTCGTCCCTTCGCCAGCAGCTGTGTTGTGTTCAAAGGTGGAAACAAACCAGCTAGGCTCTCAGTGACCCCACCCAACAGGCATTTCCTCAACGTGACTGTGACATCCACAGGGTGGGCCTGCACCTGCCTTGAGCCTCTGCAGCTTGGGATGCCTCAGCCTGAGGTGCTGGGATGATGCCACCTGGGACTGGGTCCCCTGACCTCCTGGGTTCTCCCTTAGGTCCCGGCCGCCATTCTGCAGAGACTCCTGAGTCCGTGAAGTGGATCCAGGGCCTCCAACCGCCCCAGCTGATCTGCCAGGAAAGGGGTCCCTGCTGCCCGGGGGCTGCCTCGGCTGGCGCCACGTGGAGATGAAGTGAGCCAACCCCCGAGCTCAAAGGGAGGGCTTGGGAGTACACGAGGGCCTTGTTGTTTTAGGGCCACCTAAAACAACAGGTTTTAGGTGGCCCTAGGGTTCTGAGGTGCTTTGCTTCACAGCAGGAGACAACTCACTGGAGCCCGTGGCACAGCCTGAGGGAGACAACTCACGGGAGCCCGTGGCACAGCCTGAGGGAGACAACTCACTGGAGCCCGTGGCACAGCCTGAGGGAGACAACTCACGGGAGCCCGTGGCACAGCCTGAGGGGTCTCTGGGTTGCCCACAGCTTCCCCAGGAGCTCACACAGGTCAGGCCAAGGGGAAGGGAGCCCAGTGCACACCCCCAGGCTCTGCGGTCCGAATGCTTGTGTTCCCAAAAATTCACATGGAATCCTCACCTCCCAGAGTGCTCCCCAGCCCCTTCCACCATGGGAGGACGCGGCACAGGGTGCCGTTACCACCTGGGAAGCACAGCCTCACCAGACGCGGAAACTGCTGGAGCAGAGACCTTGGCTTCCAGCCTCCAGCGCCAAGAGGAGCGGATTCCTGTCGTGGGCCAGCGTGTTCTGCGTGGTGGCCGGGATGGACCGAGACTGGGTAGATGCCATCCTGACTGCTGACGTTTGGGACGTGAGACATCTGGGGGCATGGGGCAGCCCGCTGCGGCCAGGTGGGGTCATGGGGCAGCCCACTGGGGTCAGGTGGAGGTCACGGGGCAGCCCGCTGGGGTCAGGTGGGGTCACGGGGCAGCCCGTTGGGGTCAGGTGGGTGTCACGGGGCAGCCCGCTGGGGTCAGGTGGTTCACGGGGCAGCTGGGCTCAGGTGGGGTGGGTGGGATATTCAGCCGCTTCCGATTATTTTCAGTAAATTACTTCCAGGCCACACATATCTCATTTCTCTTCTGAAAAACCCGTCTCAAAAACTCCCTTTCTCTTGATATTTCTCTGGCCAAGTCTACCCTGCAACACGCTGGTAAAATGTAAAATTCCTTCGCACGAGAGTGAAGAGGATGATCCCCAGGTGCGTCTCTCCATTCCCGGGTCCTAACGATTCCTCCTTAAGCCGGCTACCTGCGCGGGGGCCACGCTCTCCCACTGGGAGGATGGTTTCTGGGACATGCGGCGTCTCCTCCTTGTGCCTGTGCGTCTGAGAGAACTGGGGCGTCTCCTTGAACTGGGACGTCTCCTCCTCGTGCCTGTGTGGTCTGAGAGAACTGGGGCGTCTCCTCCAACTGGGGCGTCTCCTCCTCGTGCCTGTGCGTCTGAGAGAACTGCGGGGTCTCCTCCTCGTGCCTGTGTGGTCTGAGAGAACTGCGGGGTCTCCTCCTCGTGCCTGTGCGGTCTGAGAGAACTGCGGTGGCCCCTTGTGGGCCTCTTGGTTCTGGGGACAGAGGACACTTTTCACTCAGCCCGGGGACCTTTGGTTCTTTCTGTGAAGATGGCGCCCATGAGATGACGCCTTGTGACTCAGGTACCTCAGCCCTGCGCCTCCGTCTCTGCGTCTCTGTATTGGGTTGGTGGCGTCCACACTGTCTGCGTCGTTGCTGAGCATCCCAGGTCCCCACTCAGCCCGGCCTCGTGTTTTCTCTTGTCCTCCTGACTGGAGTTCCAGTTCTTACCTTGCAGATGGTGCGCTTGTCACCCTCTGCCGTCTCCACAGCATCTGGGCCGGGTCCCCCCAGGAACTGGGCTCTGGTCTCAGGAGCTGTGGCCGAGGTCGGTGGTGCTGGTGCAGGAGGGCAGAGCCGCGAAGGCAGCGGGGCTGCTGATTGTTTCATTATTACTTTTTATATTTGATAAGTGTTAGTGAATTGATCACTGCTTCTTTCCTCACTAGAGGTGTTATGTCACTTAAGGCCGGGCGCGGTGGCTCACCCCTGTAATCCCAGCACTTTGGGAGGCTGAGGCGGGTGGATCACTTGAGGTCAGGAGTTTGAGACCAGCCTGGCCAACGTGGCGAAACCCTGTCTCTACTAAAAATACAAAAATTAGCCGGGAATGGTGGTGTACGCCTGTAATCCCAGCTACTCGGGAGGCTAAGGCAGAGAATTGCTTGAACCTGGGAGGCAGAGGCTGCAGTGAGCCGGGATCACGCCATGCACTCTAGCCTGGGTGACAAGAGCAAGACTTCATCTCAATCTGTACAATTTTACTCTTTTAAAAGGAGTAAAAATATTTTTAAACCAGACTGGGGGAACTTGGGGTTCGGTGTTTAAAAGCAGTTCTGTTAGGAAGGACCTACACTCTGAGATTAGAACAATGAACATCACTCATTTGACCTCAGTGGAGTCAACAAATCATGGAGGAAGGCGTCAGAATTGTTCCCAGGTGGGCTGCGTGGCCAAGAGGAGGCACGAGAAGCTGTTGTTGAGGGAACATTGAGCAGCTGATCTCTAGGTGGGGGGAGACGGCACTCTGCACAGGCTAAAATTTAGGTTTAGAAATCAGCCAGTGCCGTATTCCCCAGAGAGCAGCTGTAATTTCTTATGGTTCATTTTCATGGAGAAAGTTTTAATCTGTTCATTTAAAGACACATTGTGATCAATAATCAAGCTCAGGTACTTAAAATTAGAAACCATATCTGAAGGAACATTAGTTCCAGGAGATTTAGATTTTTTATATGCCGCTCAATGTTTGATTAATCTTAGAGACAAAAGCTAAAAGCACCTCTGCAGTTTTCCTCATTCTTTTAGGAGCCTGGGGTTTGGCTGTTGGTGAGAGTCTAGCCTGGCTCCATAGAGCTGGAAAAACAGGCCGCGTCCACAGGCCTTCAGGATGGGACTGTTAGGCCTGCGGTGTCCGACCCTCTTCCCATGCAGGGGCAGGGTTTGGTCTCCAGGGCACTCCTAACCTTACCTTGTGGCTTTGCAGGTCAATTCTTATTGACCTGTGACTACCACTTTCTGCAGTTCCATCCCATCTTCCCAGGGCTATGGTGGTGGTAGGATTTTAGGAATCGAGTTTACTGTGACTTTATCTGTTCTCTGATTTCCTGAAGACCGGATAGGTGATTTCTCTCACCTGCCAGTGCCAGCCTCCTAGGGCTGCTGTGGGACAACCACAGTGGGGTGGCTTGAAACAGGGATGTTCCCCCAGTTCTGGAGGCCAGAGTCTGAAAAGGTGTCTGCAGGGTCGTGCTTTCCCTGGGTGCGTGTGGCTGGTGCCACCCCCCGGGGTCCCTGTCCTCCAAGCACCCACTGGCTCTGAGGTCACAGAGGAGGCCAAGGACACCTGGGTGTGTCTGTCCCTGGCCCCAGCACTCAGGTGCAGGCAGCCGGGCCCCATGCTGGGCTCTGTCCCTGCCTCCCATTCTCTCACCTCCCTGCTTCCCCAGCCCCTTTGCATCAGCACGAGGCCCTGGGCGGACTGAGGTGCCTCAGGGACATGGGACTCTAGAGCGTCCTCTCATGGCCTGGACCCCCAGTGGGCCTGGCTGCACATCAGGCCGTTTCCTCTGGGCTGGTCTTAGCCACCAGGCAGCACCCATGGGCTCTTAAGTGGTCATGTAATTATCAAGTCAGTCGTGTTTGCTGAGCCCCTGAGATGTGAGGACACAGTTCTAAGTGCCACAGGGAGGGCCTGGTTCCTGCCCTCTGGGAGGGCCTGATTTGTCGGGGGAGACAAGATGGTCACAGACCATTGGCCCAGGAAGAGGGGCTTCTGAGCAGGGGCTTGGCCCACAGCTTTCTCTGCTGGGGCGCCCGGAGCCTGATGAGTGGTCGGTGCTGTCAGGGCACTGAGGCAGGTGGGGTGGGGGTTCTGCCCAGTAAACAGGCTCAGGGTATCCTCTTGTGGTTCATCGTGGGTCCCCAGATACCACGGTGGATTTCAGATGCAGTGAGGGGCGTGTGGCTGCCAATACCCCCAGATCCTTCTGAATGGCGGAGAACATTAGGTGTGCATTGTGGGAGACACACAGGATGGAGACAAACGACTCGTTCAGTGATCCCCAGAGCAACGCTGAGGGCGCCTGAGAGGGAATCACAACCCCATCAGCACAGGGTGACCTGCCTCAGCCCTTAGGTGTGGGGATGGCTGCACTATCACTGACACCCACACCCATGCCCACGCCTACACCATCACCCATGCCCACACCTACAGCCTCGCCCACACCCACGCCATCACCCACACCCATGCCCATGCCTACACCGTCACCCATGCCCACACCTACAGCCTCACCCACACCCACACTATCACCTACAGCAACACCGTCACCCATGCCCACACCTACAGCCTGGCCCACACCCACACCATCACCCACACCCATGCCCATGCCTACACTGTCGCCCATGCCTACACTGTCACCCATGCCCACACCTACAGCCTCGCCCACACCCATGCCATCACCCACACCCACATCATCACCCACACTCTCACCATCACCCACACCCATGACCACGCCTACACCATCACCCACACCCACATCCACACTCATGCCCATGCCTGCACCGTCACCCACACTCACATCCACACCCACACCATCACCCATGCCCACACCTACAGCTTGGCCCACACCCACACACCCACACCACACTGTCATCCACACCCTTTCCCAACTTGAGTGCTCTCCTGTGCCCTGGTGCACTGAATGACTGTGGCCACAGGAGGCCAGAAGCCCACACAGAGGACGGAGGGGACATCAGATGATGTGTAAGGAAATGTGACAAAAGGTTTCTCCACAATGTTTTACGGCTCATTCTAAGCCACTGGAAAAATTTCAAGATTTCTATCACACACTTTCATATTTTGCTGTAAACTGATCTTACCACTGACATTGTGAAGTGAAATCTATTATTATTCATGGAATTCCGTACCCAGAAGAAGGTCTGCTGTCACCCAAGAATATCACTATGGGTATTATTGGTCCTAAAGGTGATGCCTGTGCATTACTTTTGATCTGTAGGTGGGAAGTAATGTAGCTGTGTTGTTTGTTTGGATCTTTTGATACAAAAGATCATTTTTCATTGATATCAAAGGGAAATTGCAAAGAGAATGACCTATTTGTCTGGCGGACACACTTTCTGTACCTTAATGATACATACAATTCTATCCATTTATTCTCATTTTAATACATGAAAGTGGCACGAAGTCGGAGATCAAAAGCCAGCCAGACATTAATCTCATGGCTGCTCAAACAGAACTGCGTCTATTCCCAGAGAAATTTCTAAACGAAGAAGCAAATATGACCACGGGTTCCCGGCCTCGTGTGGGATGAGACTCGTGCTGTCTAGGAGAGAAAATCTGTAGGTTTCACTGGTTTTAGCACATCCCTAAAATGTATGAGCAGCACACATACCTCTGGAGCCCTGGCCAAAGTTAGTGGCTGAGCAGAAGACACGTGCTTCGCCTCCATAAAGTCGTCTGCGTGGCACGTCAGAAGCCTGCAGTCCTTTCAACTTCCAGTTCCCAGGGCATCATCAATCACGTCGCAGCGATTCCTATTTCACGTCATGGCCATTCTGACAAAACAGCAGGTTTCCTTCGCTCATGAGTGCAGTGAGCGGTTCCTGGATGCTGACCGTGTGGAGCACTTTGTACCTCGTGGGGGTGTAAAGAAGCCTGGCAGGAAGCCTGGCAGGTGGGCCTCAGGCAGATGGAAAGGTGGGGACAGTTGGAAGCAGCCCCTTCCCGCGCTGGGGCCTCCCCGTGGTGTAGACGTCTCCTCGGGACGAGTCTCAGTGGAGCCATCATAGCCAAGTCAGCCGGTGCTTGAAGGCTGCTGCAGCTAGCACCTGGGCAACGCGGAGGCTGTACTTGCCAGCCTGTGCCAGGGAGGCTCTGGGCACTCTCCCTGCCAGCCCACCAAGGTGTTGCCAATGGCGCTGTGAGGGGTTCAAAACCCTTGTCCTCTCCTGCTGTGGCTCAGCCTCCCATCGCTCCCTCCCTCCCTCCCTCCTATCTATCTTCTATCATCTGTCGATCAGTCATCTAATCTATAATCTATCATCTATCTAATCTATGATCTATCATCTAATTTTCATCTATCATCTATCATTATCATCTATCATCTACCTATCATCTGTCATCTATTATCTGTCATCTGTTATCATCTATCATCTATTAACTATCATCTGATCTATAATCTATGTATCATCTGTCATCTTCATCTATCTGTCATTTATTGTTCTATGTATGCCTGCTATGTGCTGTATCATCTATCTGTCATCTCTATCCATCTATCTGTCTGTCATCTATCGATCTATGTATGCCTGCTATGTTCCTGCACCCACTGTGCCAGACACTGAATGCATGACGTGGAATGAGACAAGGTCCCCACCTGCCAGAAGCTTAGAGTTTGGTGGGAAGCATGGATTCTAAGGAGGGTGAGGGCCTCCCGGGTTCAGACAGTGGACTCCCAGCAGCCTCAAATATGTTATTTCTGGACGAGACCATGGTATGCTGCTCACAGTCAGCTCTCGAAAGAAAGAAACAATCACGTGTGTAGCTTTCCAATTTCCATGGTGTAAGCACCATCACTGTGGCCAATTTCAAGGGCCCAGTGTGAGGTCACTGAGCAGGTTTGGGCAGCGATGAAGGGGTTTGGAAAACAGCAGGATTTTGTGGTATTTCCACCACACAGATATAAGAGGTGTAAATAATTTCAAGAGCACAAATAACAGTAAAATAATTTGGAGTGGTGAGTTTTGAGTACCTGTTACCTTTGTTTTACTATATTTAGTTCTAAGTTTATGTAATTTAGTTTTTAATAATGACTTATTTGACAACCACCTTTCAAAACTGCCTGCACATCTCACCATGGCCCTCAGGATGACGCTGGCTCCTGTGCATCCTGCGCCGGGCATGGTGCCTCACGTGAGGTCATTTCCACGGCCACGTGTGTCCTCCTGCCGCTTCACAGACGGTGACTTCCACCTCCATGTCCTCAGACTCCACTCTCCACAGAGCCCTGACTGTCATTAACTCCCTGACTTAGAATATTTCATCCGTATTTGTGTATGAAGGGTCCTTTATGTTGAATGTTATTTAAGCCCTAGGTTTAATTTTTGTTTTTGTGCAGGATAGAAAACAGATGAACACATACGTTATCAGATGGTCTCTCTGTACAAATAATGCACGGCCCAGATGCTTATGGTCTGGAATCATTAGCATAACATATGCTGCTGCTCAGAAACGGCAAGTGCGGCGCAATTCTGAAACAGCTCCTGCCTTAGCAGGTACATCCTGGTCTATGCTCAGGTCTGATTTTGGCAGATACACAAGTACCTTCTTGCCAAAGGCTGTGTCCCCATGTCACTGCTTGTGCCTGGCCCAGAGCAGAGGCTCCGAGTGGTGGCACCACTTCTGTCATTGTCGGGACCATGGCTGCCCCTCCTCCCCCTCCTGCTAAACCAACAAGGGCTGTTGACTGAGGGCCCCCGAGGGCCACTGAGTGCACCCCACAGTGGCAGGCACCCTGCAACCAAGTGTCCCTGAGTCCACCCCACCATGGCAGACACCCTGCAGCTGAGAGGCCCTGAGTGCACCTCACTGTGGCAGGCACCCTGCAGCCAAGTGGCCCTGAGTCCACCTCACCGTGGCAGGCACCCTGCAGCCAAGTGGCCCTGAGTCCACCCCACCGTGGCAGGCACCCTGCAGCTGAGAGGCCCTGAGTGCACCTCACTGTGGCAGGCACCCTGCAGCCAAGCGGCCCTGAGTCCAACCCACCGTGGCAGGCACCCTGCAGCCAAGCGGCACTGATGAGCCCTTGGAGGTCAGAACTCAGACGCAGAAGCAGACAGTACCTGGAACTGAACCCCTGCAAGCTCCATGCAGAGAACAGCGTGGCAGCACTCGAGGAGGGAAAGGCTTTGGGGAAGAGGGAGGGAGGCAGAAGGAGCAGCTCAGGGAGCTCATCAATGAGGGAGGGTGAGTGGAGCAGAGATGAAGAGATGAGATACACACAGCCAGGGAGGAGGATGAGATGGAGAGGGAGAGACAGAGACACAGAAAGACAGAGACAAGCAGACAAGGACAGAGATAAAAAGACAAAGAGAGACAGAGATGGGCACACAGAGAAAGAGACAGAGAGACAAGGACAGAGATGGAGACAAAGCTAGAGACAGACAGGGAGAGAGATACAGAGAGACAGAGGGAGAGACATAGAGACAGACGCAGAGACAGAGAGAGGCCGAGAGCGAGAGGAGGAGGGAGAAGAGATGATGGGGACAAGGGGAAGCCAAGTCTAAGACAGGAGAGAACCAGTACCAGAACCAGAAGGTGGCTGGGCTTCGAGGGGCCTGGGCCAGTGGCTAGGGGCATTTCAAGCCTTGCCTGTGCCCCCACACCTGGGCACCCCCCTGTCCACTGCACCCCTGTCCTGTCACCAGACTCGGGGATGAAGCACTTGTGAATGGAGAGAGAGGACGCAACTCTGTTCTAACCCGGCAGGTGCTTAGGATTAATTCCTGGACAAATTCAGGAATTCTCACTCTAGCTGCCCAGAGCCACGGGTGTGACAATTTCCACAAACTTGTATTCTGTTTTCAAAAGGAGTCTAGAATCACCCCCAAATCCCGGACACTGAAAGCCCCTGGCCAGGAAGCAGTGTAGACCTTTGTTTTTCAAGGAGATTTTGTTACAGAGAGACAACCCTGCCCCTTGAGTGGCCACTGAGTGCTTGGACCTGCCAGCGTTGTGTGGGTTTGCATCTGTGTCCAGCATCTCGTGGGTTTGCACCTGTGCCCGGACCTGCCAGTGTTGCGTGGGTTTGCACCTGTGCCCAGACCTGCTGGCATCGCGTGGGTTTGCACGTGTCCAGCATCATGTAGGTTTGTACCTGTGCCCAGACCTGGCATTGCGTGGGTTCGCACCTGTGTCCAGCGTTGTGTAGCTTTGCACCTGTACCCGGACCTGCCGGTGACACATAGGTTTGCACCTGTGTCCAGCATCGTGTAGGTTTGCACCTGTGTCCAGCGTCATGTAGGTTTGCACCTGTGTCCAGCGTAGTGTAGGTTTGCACCTGTGCCCGGACCTGCTGGCGTTGCATGGGTTTGCACCTGTGTCCAGCATCGTGTAGGTTTGCACCTGTGCCTGGACCTGCCAGCGTTGCATGGGTTTGCCCCTGTGCCTGGACCTTCTGGCGTTGTGTAGGTTTGCACCTGTACCCAGCGTCACGTGGGTTTGCACCTGTGCCTGGACCTGCCGGCGTCGCATGGGTTTGCACCTGTGCCTGGACCTGCCAGCGTTGCGTGGGTTTGCCCCTGTGCCTGGACCTTCTGGCGTTGTGTAGGTTTGCACCTGTACCCAGCGTTGCGTGGGTTTGCCCCTGTGCCTGGACCTTCTGGCGTTGTGTAGGTTTGCACCTGTACCCAGCGTCGCGTGGGTTTGCACCTGTGCCTGGACCTGCCGGCGTCGCGTGGGTTCGCACCTGTGTTTAGTCCACCATCTATGGATGTTGAAGATCCCAGGGACGGCCAAGTTTCAATTCTGTAGGTGCTAATTTACTTCATTTTTCTGGGGCACCAGAGAGTAAATTTAGAAACCCAATGCTATCTTAGGGCACCAAGAGAATTTCAGTTGAGGTGAAAATTACTGCTTTTTCCTCATCATGAATAGATGAAAACATTGTAAAGGAAGAATACATTTTCTTTTGAAGAATGAGCTATTTGTCGACAATGGGCTGTTCCCTTTGATGCAGAAACCACGGCTTTGGTCCACTGTCATTAGGCTGACCCTGTGGCTCCCCAGCCAGGAGTGCCCAGAGCCAGGAAGGAAAGGGCACCATTTTCCCCAGCTCTCCCACGATTTCCATGAGAAGGTGGAACCATTGTTGTTAGGGCTGGGGTTTCATCTGCCTGGAGTCCAGAAGCCGGTCTGTGTAGATCCCGGGGAGCAGAGCTGTAGGGGCCTGCAGGGGCGGGGGCAGGTGCGGCGGGGGTCTCCCGTTTTCTCCTGGGCCCTGTGTCCCCTGATGTCACCCCCCTGACCTCCAGCCCCTTGGGTTTTGTGGACGGGCCAGGGCCCAGCACTCGGGCTTAGGATGGGTAAACAGTTGTCCTGTTATCTGTTGGGCATATGGCAGGTGCCTGTCCCATGCAGGCACTGCCTGCCCCATGGGCATCTGTCTGTGCTAGAACCCCTGGGTGGCTGCGTTTTGAAGAGGATTTTACGGGGGCTGGCTGTGCGCACCCTCTCCCTTCTCTCCGTTCTCTCCCCAGATCGTGCTGTGGTTGTAGGGAGCCCAGGACCCCATGGGCACAAAAGCCTCCATGCAAGCATCAGAGGTGATGCCCCGGGTCCTGCTCAGGCCTTCGGCTTCCTGGCCCTCCCCACTCAGCCTCCTTCCTGCACATCCTGGGGACCAACCTTTGCATCTCCTGCCTGGCTCCACCACAAAACGTCCTTACAGAGGGTCTCAGGGCCACAGCCTCGTTGGGAGTTGGGGGTGGCACCCGGAGACCACATTTGCACCAAATGCGCTGTTTTCACTCCAGCTGCAGATGACAGAGGAACAGGACGACCAGAGTGTCCAAGGGTGTTCTGGGTCCCTCAACCCAGACTTCCTGTGACCACATTGTTGTTAGTTTATCAGGCTTGTGGGGAATTCATGGCTCTTTTAGGGAAACTCATGCTGTCCCCACACCTGTGACCCCTATTTTCCAAACCAAAGTTACAGAAATGTCCTGCATTGGGGATGGCGCTTTCAGGGCGTCAGACCAATGTGGGGGAGGTCTAGGGGCTTCAGATCAACGTTGGGGAGGTCTTAGGGCCTCAGATCCACGTTGGGGAGGCCTCAGGGCCTCAAATCCACGTTGGGGAGGCCTCAGGGCATCAGAGCAACGTGGGGGAGGCCTCGGGGCCTCAGAGCAACGTGGGGGAGGTCTCAGGGTGTCACCAACGTGGGGGTGTCACCAACGTGGGGGAGGTCTCGGGGTCAGATCGAGGACGGAGAGGTCTTGGGACATTAGACCAAGGTTGGGGGAAGTCTCAGGGCATCAGACTAACCTGGGGGAGGTCTTGGGGCATCAGACTGAGGTTGGGGGAGGTCTTAGGGTATCAGACTGAGGTCAAGGAGGTCTCGGGGCATCAGACCGAGGTTGGGGGAGGTCTCGGGGCATCAGGCCAAGGTAGGGGGAGGTCTCAACGCGTCAGACCAAGGTTGGGGGAGGTCTTGGGCAGAGCAGCTCAGGAGCTTGGGGCGTGGCAGCGACTGGAGGTGCTGGGAGGGAGGCGGGTGCCCATTCTGCAGCTTCCTGCTCCTCTGCACAGAGCTCAGCCGAGGCCTCTCATCCCGAGACCTCCACATGGAGGCTTTGAAAACTCCATCCAAGAAGACAATATCTCGGGATGGTAGGGGAAAGGTGTTCCACCCAGCTGACCTCAAGGCCTTTGGCTGTCCCTGGACATTAGTCAGGTTTTTGTGGAAAGCCCAGTGGGGAGGGAGGCCCTGGCTTCTCGTTAGCCTATGGCCACCCCGACTGGCCGGCAGCCTCAGGCCAGGCTGTGTTTGCCCCATGCAGCCACAGCCTGGGGTTGCCGGGCCTTGCTCGGGGCTGTTTGCCTCTGCAGCGGCAGCCTCGGGTGGCAGGGCCTTGCTCCCTCAGGGACTCGGGGTGCCTTGGCCTCAGGGTGTGGGACTGAACATGTGGAATGGCTGTGGAGTTCCACGGCTCAGGCACAGGGCCCTGACCGCATGTGCCCAGCATCACTGACCTCACCAGAAGTGGGATGCAGGGAGCCTGGGGCTTGGCACTCCCCACCGGCCGCAGCCAACATCCTCGAGAGGAAGCCGTGGGCCTCACCTGGCGATCTTGTCCGTGCAGGACATGGTGATCAGCTGCTCCCCCAGCAGGACGCCGTCCCAGGTCTGCACTGCGCTGGGGCCACGCACGGGGACCGTCCCTTCCCCGGACTCGATCTTGGTGCGCAGGTGCCCGCGGAACTTCCTGACGAGGTGTTTGCTGCTGTGCACTAGGAGATAAAAGGGCGGGGAGGGGTGAGAAGAGGGAAGCCGCCTTGGTTTTGGGAGGTGGGAGAAGAGGAAGGACTGCAACAGAGGTCAAAGGGCCCCTCACCATGGCTGGGCGTTTGGCACGAGGAAGGGGCTTCAGAAATAAGCGCCATGTGGGGTTGGGCTCCAGAGCCACACCATCCCGCCTGGGCCGGGCCAACTTCCCAGTCAAGGGTCAGGGAGTAAAAACCCCAGGCTTCATGGGCCAGACTCTCTTTTCACCAACACCCGCCTCTGTTGCGTGAGTGCAGCCACGGCCTGGACCGTGCTCAGGCCAGTAAGGGGCCACCGCGTCCTCAATGCTTCATTTACAGATGCAGACTTGAACACGCAGTTGGACGTGTCGTTTTCAGAGGTTGTGAAACACCGTTTTTCTCACTTTTCAGCCATTAAAAATGTAAATATTTATGCTTAGCTGGAGGGCTGTGCAGAAATAGGTGGTGAGTGGGACTCAGCTCTTACCCTGGTCCAGGTGTCAGTCCCGGCTCCATGGTAAGCTGGCTGTGTAACCTTGGGAAAGTGTCTCAAAGTCACTGTGACCCGGTTACTTCCTCTAATGACGAGGGTAATAGCAGTGCTTGCCGCCCAGGCTGTGAGGAGTCGGTGAGGTGGCTCCTGTGAAGGTGCTGGGGTTGCCTGGGCACCTCCACTCTTGCTGTGTCCCCTAATTACCAAGGGTCGCCATGGGCAGGAGCTCCGCCAGGCCCAGAAGTGACGGAGCGTCTGGTGGGTCTCTGTGGGTCCCTCAGGTGTTCTGTGTTCTCCTTTCTAGGGTCCCCTTGACACCCCCCGCCCCCCTATACCACATTCCCCACAATTACTTGGAGAACTAGCATGAGCAAGAGGAAGCTTAAATTTATGTTTCTCTTTCTTTGAAAAAATTTTGTATGTTTTTGTTTTGTTTTGTTTGAGATGGAGTCTCGCTCTCTTACCCAGGCTGGAGTGCAGTGGCGCAATCTCAGCTCACTGCAACCTCCGCCTCCCAGGTTCAAGAGATTCTCCTGCCTCAGCCTCCTGAGTAGCTGGGATTACAAGTGCTCATCACCACACCCAGCTAATTTTTGTATTTTCAGTAGAGATGGGGTTTCGCCATGTTGGCTAGGCTGGTCTCGAACTCCTGACCTCAGGTGATCCGCCCACCTCCGCCTCCCAAAGTGCTGGGATTACAGGCCTGAGCCACTGCACCCAGCCAAAATCTTGTACATTAAATCTGGATTATATTGTAATATGGAAATGGCCCACTGCTTTGCATTTGAATTATATATAAAATAGTATAGTGATTATATCATTTACATACATATGATAACGTAAGTGAATATTAAATGCTTTCTTTAGAAAGTTCCTATTGAAGTTTTAGAAGCTGTGGAAATGCAATTTCCCCCTCACTTTCCCCCACTGACAGTGCTTGATATGGCTGGGATCCGTGTCCCCACTGAAATCCATGTTGACATGTAATCCCCAGTGTCGGAGGTGGAATTTGGTGGGAGATGACTGGATCATGGGGCGGATTTCTCATGCCCAGTTTACTACCGTCCCCTTGGTGCTGTCCTCGTGGCAGTGAATTGTTCTCATGAGACCTGGTCATTTAAAAGTGTGTGGCATCAGCCGGGCACGGTGGCTCACGCCTGTAATCCCAGCACTTTGGGAGGCAGAGGCGGGCGGATCACGAGGTCAGGAGATTGAGATCATCTTGGCTAACACAGTGAAACCCCATCTCTACTAAAAATACAAAAAAAAAAAATTAGCCGGGCGTGGTGGCGGGCGCCTGTAGTCCCAGCTACTCGGGAGGCTGAGGCAGGAGAATGGCCTGAACCCAGGAGGTGGAGCTTGCAGTGAGCCGAGATTGTGCCACTGTACTCCAGCCTGGGCGACAGAGCAAGACTACGTCTCAAAAAAAAAAAAAAAAAAAAGAGTGTGTGGCATCTCCCCCGCCCTCTCACTCCTGCTCTGGCCATGTCACTTTCTGCCATGATTGTGAGCTTCCTGAGGCCTCCCCAGAAGCCAAGCAGATGCCAGTATCATGCTTCCTGTATAGCCTGTGGAACCTCAAGCCAATTAAACCTCTTTTCTTTATAAATTACCCAGTCTCAGGTGTTTCTCTAGAGCAATGTGAGAATGGACTAATACAGTGCTGAATGGTAACTAATGCTTGGGTTTATATAGGAACTTTCTCCTAAAGATCCCAAGTAATTTCCAGTGTATTTTCTAATTGTCTGTAAGAGCTGACATTCTTTCACTATACATTCATAGTACTTAAGGCTATGCCTTGGGAAGAAAGATCGCTGCATTCTTTGGAGAAAAAACCCTTTGAGAGGCTTCAGATGGCTTTTCACTTTGTAACCAACTAGATACTTGATGAGATAAAATTTGGACCGGTCTTTGAGTCATTCACGGAAAAAAGAGCGAATGAGAGGTATTGAGCCTGGGCAGGCACAGCAAATAATGCCCAGCTCTTCCCCAGATAAAGCACAAATCTCTTCTTTGCAGCTTTAATGGTGATGGTGATGATAATGGTGGTGGTGATGGTGATAATGGAGGTAATGGTGGTGGTGATGGTGTTAATGGAGGTGATGGTGATGGTGAAGATAATGGTGATGATGGTGGCGGTGGAGACGGTGATATGATGGTGAAGATAATGATGGCAATGGTGATGATGGTGATGGTAATGATGGTGGTGATGATGATGGTGATGGTGATGATGATGGTAATGGTGGTGGTGATGATGGTGATGGTGATAATGATGGTAATGGTGGTGGCGATGATGGTGATGGTGATGATGGTGGTGATAATGGTGATGGTGGTGGTGATGGATGATGGTGATGGTGGTGATGATGGTGATGATGATGGTAATGGTGATGGTGATGATGGTGGTGATGATGGTAATGGTGATGGTGGTGGTGGTGATGATGGTGATGGTGATGATGGTGGTAATGGTGATGGTGGTGGTGGTGATGATGGTGATGATGGTGAAGATAATGATGGCAATGGTGATGATGGTGATGGTAATGATGGTGGTGATGATGGTGGTGATGATGATGATGGTAATGGTGGTGATGATGGTGATGGTGATGATGGTGGTGATAATGGTGGTGGTGGTGATGATGGTGGTGATGATGGTAATGGTGATGGTGGTGGTGATGGTGGTGATGGTGGTAATGGTGATGGTGGTGGTGATGGATGATGGTGATTGTGGTGATGATGGTGATGATGATGGTGATGGTGGTGGTGATGATGGTGATTGTGGTGGTGATGATGGTCGTGATGGTGATGATGGTGGTGATGATAAATTGAACATAAAATAGTTCGTATGACTCAAAACACTTGGTTTAAACTGACTTTTTGCAGGTGGGGTCTTTATGAACATCAACTTTCTGCGGAAGGCAACATTGAAAGCATGGAGGAGCCATCACACCTAACAGTTTCCACAACATTACCACAATATTAGGGACTTTACTCTTTCATTTGGGGGATATTTTCTCAGGGAATGTGGTTGTTGCTGTCCCTCCATTTCTGTTATAGTATTCTTATATTCTCCCAACGTTTTAACTATTGTGGTCTTTTTCGAGATCTTGAAAGTTGCCTATTATATTGTAAGGCCTTTCTAAATTTTTACCAGTTGCTACTGCACAACTAACTTTCCATGAAGTACACTTGATAGCCTGTTAATGCCATGACAACAGGGAGGCCCTGCTTTAATTAACAGCTAGTTCCTAGGAGTTAACCCAAAGCTTTCAGGTTAGACTAATTTTGCCTGAGGAGCCAGGTGCATGAGTTGCTCCTGAGTGTTTATTTTTGGAGGTGTTCAGTCTTGGGATGCCTTCTCCACAGGCTCCCTGATGAGTTTGAGCAGCCCCAGGGTGGCTTGAATGTCGGTGATCCTGCAGAGCCCATTTCCTCTGGCTCTTTCCTGGCTAATTGTGAGAGGTGGGAAGGAGTTGAAGATGCCACTTAAGGCTGACAAAATGCCAGTCCAACCAGCAATTGCAGTGAGCTGGCCATAAATGATCTGTAGTGGATTTAGAGTGTGCCTGAGACAGTGAAAGTGTAGAACCTCAAACTCCTGACTGCTGTGTCTACATAGATGCTCACAAATCCATCCAAACATTCTGGTCCAATTCTGACAGTCCAAGTCATCAGACTCTTCATTACAGTGCTTATTAACCTATATAAAACCCTAGATAAAACCCTTGTCTTTTGAGGTCAATATCAAGGTAAATAAGGATAGTTTTTAGATGCTCATTTCTTTTTTTTTTTTAATTTTATTATTATTATTATACTTTAAGTTTTAGGGTACATGTGCACAACGTGCAGGTTTGTTACATATGTATACATGTGCCATGTTGGTGTGCTGCACCCAGTAACTCATCATTTAGCATTAGGTATATCTCCTAATGCTATCCCTCCCCCCTCACCCCACCCCACCACAGTCCCCAGTGTGTGATGTTCCCCTTCCTGTGTCCATGTGTTCTCATTGTTCAATTCCCATCTATGAGTGAGAACATGCGGTGTTTGGTTTTTTGTCCTTGCGATAGTTTGCTGAGAATGATGGTTTCCAGTTTCATCCATGTCCCTACAAAGGACATGAACTCATCTTTTTTTTATGGCTGCATAGTATTCCATGGTGTATATGTGCCACATTTTCTTAATCCAGTCTATCATTGTTGGACATTTAGGTTGGTTCCAAGTCTTTGCTATTGTGAACAGTGCCACAATAAACATGTGTGCATATGTCTTTATAGCAGCATGATTTATAATCCCTTGGGTATATACCCAGTAATGGGATTGCTGGGTCAAATGGTATTTCCAGTTCTAGATCCCTGAGGAATGACCACACTGACTTCCACAATGGTTGAACTAGTTTACAGTCCCACCAACAGTGTAAAAGTGTTCCTATTTCTCCACATCCTCTCCAGCACCTGTTGTTTCCTGACATTTTACTGATTGCCATTCTAACTGGTGTGA